>NC_000014.9:72035955-72187470 GCF_000001405.40 Homo sapiens
ATGAGAATACAAAACAGTTCCGTCACCCCAGAGAACTCCCTCATGTCATCCTTTTGTAGTCAATATCCCTAGTCCCACCCGTAACACTAACCTTTAGCAAGCACTACCCTGTTACCCATCACCAAAGTTTTGTCTTTTCCACAAGGTCACATAAATGAAATCCTACCGTATATAATCTTTTGAGACTGGCGTCTTTCACTCTGCATAATGCCTCGAAGACTCATCCAAGTTGTTGCATGTAAACATATTATTATTATTATTATTATTATTATTATGGCTGAGCAGAATTCCACTGTGTGAACATAACCCGTTTTGTTTTGTTTTGTTTTGTTTTGTTTTTCACCCATTGTAGAGCATTTGGCTGTTTCCAGTTTTTGATAATTAAGAATTAAGCTTCTATAATCATTCTTATACAGGTTTTGGGGTACAGATATGTTTTCATATTGTAATGCTTAGGTAATTCCTAGAAGTAAGGTTGCTGAGTCAACCGGTAGATGTGCCTGTAACTTTATGAGAAACTGCCACACTGTTTGCCAGAGTATTTTCAAATTTCAGCCATTCTAATATGTGTATAGGGTATTTTATCATGATTTTAATCTACATTTTTCAAATGGCCAATGATGCTGAACATCTTTTCATGTGCTTATTTGCCGACCCTACGTCCCCTTTGGTGAAGTGTCTGTTCAGGTCTTTTGCTCATTTTAAAAATTGGACTGCTTGTTCTCTCAATATTGAGTTTTGAGAGTCCTTAATATATTCTGAGTGCAAGTATTTTGCTGGATATGTGATCTGTAAATATTTTCTCCCAGTCTGTAGTTTGCCTTTTTATTCTTTTAACAGTGTCTTTCTAAAAACAAGGTTTTAATTATGATGGTGTGATTTATTTTTTCTGTTATAGATCATGATTTACCCCTTTAGTTATAAAAATTTTATAATTTTATATTTTACATTTAAATGTGTAACTTAGTTTGAGTTAATTTTGGTATAAGGTATTGAGAGGTGTAGCCAGCTGGGCTTCTGGGTCAGGTGGGGACTTGGAGAACTTTCCTGTGTCTAGCTGAAGGATTGTAAATACACCAATCAGCACTCTGTAAAAACACACCAATCAGCGCTTTGTGTCTAGCTAAAAGATTGTAAATGCACTAATCAGCACTCTGTAAAAACGTACCAATCAGTGCTTTATGTCTAGCTAAAGGATTGTAAATGCACCAATCAGCACTCTGTAAAATGGACCAATCAGCAGGACATAGATGGGGCCAAATAAGGGAATAAAAGCTGGCCACCCAAGCCAGCAGCAGCAACCTGCTCGGGTCCCTTCCATCCACACTGTGGAAGCTTTGTTCTTTCACTCTTCACAATAAATCTTGCTGCTGCTCACTCTTTGGGTCCGCACCACCTTTAAGAGCTGTAACACTCACTGCGAAGGTCTGCGGCTTCATTCTTGAAATCAGCGAGGCCGTGAACTCACCAGAAGGAAGAAACTCTGGATACATCTGAAGGAACAAACTCCAGACACACCATCTTTAAGAGCTGTAACACTCACCACGAAGGTCCCAATTCTTGAAGTCAGTGAGACCAAGAACCTACCAGAAGGAACCAACTCCAGACACAGTATGAGATTTAGGTCAAGGTTCATTTTCTTGCATTTAGATGTTTGAATGCTTCAAACACCGTTTATTCAGAAGACTGTCCTTTCTCTGATGAATTGCCTCTGCAAATTTATCAAAAACTCAGTTGGTAAAACTGTAGTTGCCCATGGGTATATGCAGCAGAGCAGAACTTTCTGAAGTAATGGAAATGGGAATACACGTTACAGGGTGTGTTATGTGGGCATATGCATTTGTCAAAACATCAATTTACACACTTTAAGTCAGTGAATTTTACTGTATGTGAGTTATACTTCAATTAAAATATCAGTTGGCCATATTTCTGTAGGTTTATTTCTGGAAGTCTATTCTATGCTGTTGATCTACATGTTTATCTTTTTGCCAATACCATGCTGTCTTTATTTTTTATTATTTTATTTTATTTTTGAGATTGAGGCTCGCTCTGTTGCCCAGGCTGGAGTGCAATGGTGCAATCTCAGTCACTGCAACCTCTGCCTCCCAGGTTCAAGCTATTCTCCTGCTTCAGCCTCCCAAGTAGCTGGGACTCCAGGCACATGCCACCATGCCTGGCTAATTTTTGTATTTTTAATAGAGACGAGGTTTCACCATGTTGGCCAGTCTTGTCTTGAACTCCTGGCCTCAATCAATCCGCCTGCCTCAGCCTCCCAAAGTGCTGGGATTACAGGTCTGAGCCACTCCCGGCCAACCATGCTATCTTGATCTCAATTACTTTAGCTTTATAGAAACCTTGATGAAGTGGAAAAGTGTGATTCCTCCAACTCTGTTCTTTTTCAAAATTGTTTTGGCTATTCTTGTTTCTTTGCCTTTCCATATACCTTTAGAATCACCTTAGTTCTACCTACAAAAATCTTGTTGGGATTTTGATTAGGTTTGTGCTAAATTTATAGATTAATTAGGGGAAGATTCACATCTTCACAATACTATCTTCCAATTTTGAACATAGTATGTTTTTTTCATTTATTTAGGTCCTCTTTATTTCATTAGCATTTTATAGTTTTCAGCATACCCTCTAATTGTTTACATAAATATTTATTAGATTTATATGTAAGTATTTCAATTTTTTGGAATTGTTTTAAATATCATTTTTGGAGTTATTTTAAACAGCATTTAAAAAATATTTGGTTTCCAGCTCCTTATTGCTAACACATAAAAATATGATCCATTTTTTTACATGTACTCTACAACTTTGCTAAATACATTCATTAGTTGTAGGAGGTTTGTATGTATGCTATTTCTTGGGATTTTTCATGTAAACAATAATTTCATTTGTGAACAGGGACAGTTTTATTTCTTCTTTTCCAGTCAGGATATCTTTATTTCTTTTCCTTGCCTGATTGCTCTGGCTTGGAATTCCAGTATGGTGTGAAATAGGAATGGAGATAGAAGTTTGCCTTGTTTTCATTCACAGGAGGAAAGCATTCAGTCTTCATCATTAGATGTGATCCTTGTTGGTTTTCCAATGATATGTCCTTTATTAGGTTGACAAAAGTCTCTTTTTGTAGCAAATCTACATTTTACATGTCAAAAGAGGGAGTAGATGAAAAAAGTAAATTACATATTCATCTCATACTCAGTGAATCTACATTTTACTAAATAAGTTGAAGTAAACATAAAAAGAGGAAGCAGAGGAAAAGTCAATTATGCATTAATCTCAGGGTAGGTGAAGAGATAATTTCTGGTCTTGTCCTTGTCCTGTACCCGCAAAGATAAGCTGGTAGTTGACATTGTGAGGGTGAGAGTCAACAGAGCTCAGTTTTAGGGCTAGTTTATAGGAGGGATATAGATCCTGAACGATTTAGGGCCTCACGTTTATACTTATTGTATCTTCCCTATGAATTGGCCCTTTTATTGTTGTATAATGTCCTTTTTTGTTTCTTCTGACAGTTTTGACTTAAAATCTATTTGTCTAATATTGGTATAGCTACCTCTGTTCTCTTTTGGTTACTATGTGCATGGAATATCTTTTTCCATTCTTTCATTTCAGCTTATGTGTGCCATTATATCTAAAGGGAATCTCTTGTATACATCAGATAGTGAGGTCTTGTTTTTTAATTCCTTCAGCCATTCTGTCTTTTGATTGAGGCATTTAATCCATTTACATTGAAGCAATTACTGATTGGGAGAGACTTTCTGTTGTCATTTTGTTAACTGTATTCTGTATATGTTGTATCTATCTATTCCTCTTTTCCTTTTTCCTTTTTATTTGCTGCCTTCTTTTGTGTTTCATTGATTTTTTTTTTTTTTTTTTTGGTGACATGCTTTAATTCCTTTCTCATTTTCTTTTGTATGTCTTCTATAGGTATTTTCTTTGCGGTTGCTATGGAGATTACAAAAAACATCTTATAGTTGTAACAATCTATTTTAAACTGTTAACTACCTAACTTTGATCACATAAAATTCCTTTACATCCCCCGTCCTACTTTGTTACCAATCTTTCAAATTATACCTTTTTATATTGCATATCCAATCAAGCTTTCAAACTATATCCTTTTATATTGCATATCCATTTATAGAGTTTTATAATTGTAGTTATTTTTTAAGCTTTTATCTTTTAAATTCTATACCAGAATTTAAAATGACATACAACCTACCAGTACAGTATTACAGAATTCTGTATTTGTCTATATATTGACCTTTACCAGGGAGCTTACATTTTCATATGCTTTCATATTGATATCTAGGATCCTTTCATTTGAAGGACTTCCATTAGCATTTCCTGTAAGGCAGGTCTAGTGGGGATGAACTCTCCCAGCCTTTGTTTATTTCTCCTTCATTTTTGAGTGACAGCTTTTTTGGCCATGGTATTTTGTGTTGGCTTTTTTTTTTCTTTTAGCATGTTGAGTATATTATCTCACTTCCTTCTGGCGTATAAACTTTCTGCTGAGAAATCTGCTGATAATCCTATGGAAGATTTCATGTACATGATGACTTACTTTTCTCTTGCTGTTTTTCAAGATTCTCTCTTTGTTTTTGATTTTGACAGTTTGATTATAATGTGCCTCAGTTTAGGCTCTTCAGGTTCATCCTAGTTGGAGTTTATTGACTTTCTTGAATTTAGATGTTCTTTTTCCCCCTAGATTTGGGAAGTTTTCAGTCATTATTTTCTCCTTTCTCTCACTGTTCTTTCTCAGGGACTCTCATAATGTGTATATTGATCTGCTCAATGGTGTTTCTTTCTTTGTTTCTTTTTTGGCTTTGACTAGAAAATTTCAAATGACCTATCTTCAAATTCATTGATTCTGTTTTGCTCTTGATCAAGTGTGCTGTTAAACTCCTCTGGTAAATCTTCCAATTCAGTTGTTGTATTCTTCAGCTCAAGAATTTGTTAGGTTCTTTTTTAAAATAGTTTCTATTTATATTCTCATTTTATTCATTCTTCATTTTTTGGATGGTTTATTTTTTATTGCTGGTTGTCTGTACACCCAGTTAACTCTTTAAACTTCTTTAAGATGGTTATTTTGAATCCTTTGTCAGGTAATTTATAGATATCTGTTTTTCTGATCTGCTTTTGGAGATTTATTTTATTCCTTTGATTGGGCCATGTTCCCCTGATTCTTCATATGCATTGATTTTTGCTGGGATTTGGGCATTTGAAAAACAACTACAACAACCAGCTCTTCCAGTCTTAATGGACTGGCTTTGTGTAGGGGAAGACCTTTACCAGTCAGCCTGGCTAGAGATTCTGAGGGTCTCTGCGACCTTCTCTGGAGATGTGTCTTGTCTGGGCTTGCATGTAATTTCCCAATTAGAGAAGTTTGCTAATTTCTTTTTCAACAGTTTGTGTTCTCTTGCTTTCTCTGTGACACTCCACAGTACTGTAGGTTCTCCGGTACAGCAAGAAAACATCAAGTTCTTTTGTTCTCTGCAGCCCTAGATGTCCAAAGTATACCAGTTTCCCGTTAGAGTCTGTGTTAAGCAAAACAGAAACTAGTCTCTTAGGCAGCCCCCTGAAAAACTGGAACACTGGATGTGCATTCACTCCTCTTTTCCTCCCAAAGGAGAAGCTCTGAGTAGGTTGTTTTCTCCCAATTCATTGAGCTGTGCCAGCCTGGGGAAAGGCTAAGAATAGCAAAATAAAATGACTTTTCCTACCTGTTTTAATTCTGCTGTTCTTCACTTTGTATTTGCCTAGGGGCACTGTGGTTTCATAACTGGTTTCTGGAGGTCTTATAAAGGCATTTTGTACAATATATTGTTGGTAAGTCTGTGGGGGGTGGGCAGGGAATGAGATCTGGGGCATCCTATTTTGTAATCTTACTTATATCACCTCCCAGGAAGATCAAATTTTATACTTATCAGTGTATGAGAGTAGAAATGTCATTGTATTGGGGGGTCAGTAGATAAGATTCCATATCTGTTTCTATCACTAATGATAGAACTACTGCTAAATTATAAAAATGTAAAATGGTGCTAGAATAGAGATTAGAGTAACATATTTTTGAAACTTTAAAATCTGAAGGAATTTACTGCTTAACTTCTGCCTACTTTCAGGGTATTAATACTAGAGAAATTTCCTCTAATACTTTCCTTTTTCTTTTTCTTTTTCTTTTTTTTTTTTTTTTGAGATAGAGTCTTATTCTGTTGCCCAGGATAGAGGGCAGTGGTGCAGTCTCAGTTTACCGCAACCTCTGCCTCCCAGGTTCAAGCAATTCTCCTGCCTCAGCCTCCCGAGTAGTTGGGATTAGAGGTGCATGCCACCATGCCTGGCTAATTTTTTGTATTTTTAGTAGAGATGGGGTTTCACCATGTTGGCCAGGCTGGTCTCAAACTCCTGATCTCAGATGATCCTCCTGCTTCGGCCTCACAAAGTGCTGGGATTATGGGCATGAGCCACCGCACCCAGCCTCTAATACTTTTCTAATTATGAACCTGATGAATGCTTAGTAGGATATATATGTAAATCATCTGCAATTCATTCAACATGAGTAATTACTGTTAACATTTTATAGTATTTTCTTTACATTTTGTATGTATCTGTATAATGTATTCAAAATTATGTATATTTAAATGTTCTCTATACACAGATCTGTTTGCTCTCTGATCACCAGGCTTTATATAATAAACTTTTTTTTTCATGTTAAACATTCACTGGTTTTTCAATATCTGCATATTTTCCTAATAATATATTGCTGTAATATACCTCATTTGACCATGTAACCATATCTCATATTTCTATTTTGGGAGGTTATTATAAATATGGGGCCATGAAAATGTTTGTAGAAATATTCTATATGCTTTTAAAATATCCTGTTTTCTTCAAGTAGATTGCTGGAGATGGAATTTCTAGGTCAAAGAATAATGTGGACATAAATGATTTTAGAACTTTTTCTACCTTTGCCAGTTACCTTTGAAAAAGTGTGAGAGTGTTACATTGCTTTTGTTTCTCATGAATACTATCTTTTAAAAATTTTAGCTAACTTGATAGGTAATTTTATTTGTATTTCTTTGAACATTAATTCTGCTTCTGTGGCTTGTTTATTCTTATCCCCTTTGCCCTTTTCTTTATTGTGATATTGGAAATGTCCCTTTCAATTAGTTTTTACTCTTTATTTATTAAGGGTGTTAATACTTTTTTTAGATTTGTGGTAAATATTTTCCCCTGATTCGTAGTCTGCATAGCTTTTAATTGTCTTATGTTATTGTGGGTTGAAACTTTTATTTAGTCAAATTTGTACAACTTTCTTTAGTAACTTTTTTCCTTTGCTGTTGTGCCTGCAGTCACACACCATCCAGATATTAATCACCTAGATTTTAAATTTTCTATATATATACAAATTTCTGACTATACTATATTCCTTCTCTATGAATAACCTCTTTTAACATTTTTTTGATGGGCAAATTTGCTGGCAATGAATTCCCTCAGTTTTTGTTTGTATGAAAAAGTCTTTATTTTTTCTTCACTTTTGAAGGATAACTTTGCTGAATATAGAAATCTATGTTGGTGGACTCCCCCCATTTAACACATTAAATATTTTTCTCCATTCTCTTCTTGCATGGTTTCTAACAAAATGTCTGCTGCAACTTTCATCCTCTATAGATGTTTCCCTCCTTTTGGCTTCTTTCAAAATTTCTTATTTGACTTTGGCTTTCAGCAGTATAAATATGATAGCCCAGGTGTAGGTATTTTTGACATTTATTGTGCTTAGTGGTGGTCTCTAAGCTTCCTAGATTGGTATTTTGGTGTCTGTCATTTATTTTGGAAAGTTCTTGGTCATTATTCCTTCAACATTTCTTTTGCTTCATTCTTTCTTCCCCTTCTGTTCAGTTACACACATGTCGCACCTTTGCAATTATTCCACAGTTCTTGGAAGGTCGCTGCTGCTGTCACTGCTGCTGCTCCTTCCTACTCCTCCTCTTCCTTGTTCCGCTTCTCCTCCTCCTCCTCTCTTTTTCTTCTCTGCCCACCTCCCACTCTGTTTTCTTCTCTCTTTGCATTTTTATCTGGGAGGTGTCTATTGAGCTATCTTCAAGTTCTCTGATTCTTTCTTCAGCCATGACTAGTCTCCTCATGAGCCCATCAAAAACATTCTTCACTTCTGTTTGTCTGATTTCTAGCAATTCCTTTAGATTCTCTCTTACAGTTTCCATTTCCCTGTTGACATTACCTGTCTGTTCTTGCATATTGTCTGCTTTTCCCATCAGTGTTCTTAACATACTGTGATAGTTAATTTTAGGTGTCAACTTGACTTTAGAAGGGATACCCAGATAGCTAGAAAAGCATTATTTTTGGGTATGTCTATGAGGGTGTTTCTGGAAGAAATTGGCATTTGAATCAGCGTACTGAATAAGAAAGATCTGCCCTGCCCCAATATTGACAGGCACCATTCAGTCAGCTGAGGTCCCAGATACAACAAAAAGGGAGAGGAGAAATGAATTCATATTCTCTTTCTCTCCCCTTCTCTCTCTTCCTTCCTCCCTCTCCCTCTCCTTTTCCCTCTCTCCCTCCCTTCTAGAGCTGAGACATTCATCTGCTTCTGATCTTGAACATCAGAACTCCAGGTTCTTGGCTGGGTGCGGTGGCTCATGCCTGTAATCCCAGCACTTTGGGAGGCCGAGGCAGGCGGATCACTTGAGGTCAGGAGTTTGAAACCAGCCTGGCCAACATGGTGAGACTCTGTCTCTACTAAAAATACAAAAAAATAAGCTGAGTGTGGTGGTGGGTGCCTGTAATCCCAGCTACTTGGGAGGCTGAGGCAGGAGAATCACTTGAACTTGGGAGGTGGAGGTTGCAGTGAGCCGAGATGATGCCACTGCACTCCAGCCTGGGCAACATAGTAAGACTCCGTCTCAAAAAACAAAAAAAACCAAACTAACAAAAAAACCCAAAAAACTCCAGGTTCTCCACCCTAGGGATTCTGGGTCTTGTATCTGCAGTCCCGCAGTTTCTTAGGCCTTCAGCCTTGGACTGAGAGTTACATTGTTGGCTCTTCTGATTCTCAGGCTTTTGAGCTTGGACTGAGCCATGCTACCAGCTTCCCTGGTTCTCCAGCTTGCAGATGGCGTACTATGGGACTTCCCAGCCTCCATAATCAGATTTAATTCCCCTGATGAATCCCCTCTTGTCTATCTATTTATCCTATTGGTTCTGTTTCTCAGGAGAACCCTAATACACATATTAATCATAGTTATTTTAAATTTCCTATCCGATAAGTCCAGTATTTATCTGGTTTGATTATTACTTTGCCTCTTCAAATTGTTTTTTCTTGCCTTTTAGCATGCCTTGTAATTTTCATTGAAAGCTGAAAATAATGGATTGGGTAATAGACCTTTAGTATAAGGTTTTATGTTAATCTAGACTAGATTAATCACAGACTACAGTTGGCCTGTGTTTAGTATTTGCTGTAGCTGTAGGTGCCAGAGGCTTCAAATTCCTCTGGCGTCATTGTTTCAGTCTCCCCTGTTGTCTTTGGGATTCCCTAAGAACTCCTCAGATAGAGTTTGCATCTTGCAGCTCTTTTAGACGTAATCTAATGTAATCTGTTATTTTACTGGTGAGGTATGGTGCTAAGGTGTAGGGAAGGGGAAACATTCTGTAATCTTAGGACTACATACCAGTTTCTTAGTGGGCTTGCATTCATGGCCTATGACCTTCACAAGTGTTTCTTAGCTTTTATTTTCTTAAAGAAAAAAAAAAAAGCTCCCATAATGAGATAGGAAGGCTAGAGGGGGCCAGAGTAGGAGGAATGTCCTTCCCTCAGGTGGATAAGGCTCTGGTAAAGTCTTTTTGGATTCCACTCTGGAGAGTAGGCCTTTATTTTTGAAACTCCTCTGGGCATATTTCACAATAGTTACCATTAGGGATGGAATATTTGTGTCCCCCCACGCCCCCGCACCCCGCCAAGTTTATATGTGGAAGTCCTGACACCCAATATGAGTGTGTGTGGTAGGCTGCGTGTGGAGGTATTGGGAAATTCAGGTTCCCAAAAGTTTGGTCGTAGTGAAGTCCTCAGAGGTCTTCTTGAGTCTTTCCTTTTCTTCACCAAAGGCTCACTGACGTCATCCATCCTCCTGATGGAGGTCAAAGCATTAAAGTCATTTTTCTCCCTAGGAGCGTCTCCCCCATTGCCAAATTGCCAGGCTAGTATTAGGGAGAAATGTCCTCCCTGAATTTCATTGTTGGGTTTTTTTTTTTTTTTTTTTAAACCTTATTATGGCTTTAATGTTGAAATTTCTGTTTTGGACTTTTTAGCATGACACATACACACACCTCTCATTTTATTTTCATTGCTTTTTAAACTCCCATGTCCAATGTCTATTTTAATCTTATGTTTGGCAGCCTGAAACATTTTATTTCTAAAATTAATTCTCTAATTATACAACATCTACATGGCTTGTAATGACATCAGTAGAGCAGAATCTAGAATCCAACTCAAGGTTTTCGTTTTGTTTTTTAAGAGTAAGTAACTTATTTTGATCAATGTAGTAAGAGGAGATTGAAAGGTACCAGTGTGTGTGAAAGTGAATAGTTGCTTCCTCTCCCCATCTCCTCTTCTTCCTCCCCTGCTCCTCTCCTCTTCTTCCTCCCCCTCCTTTCCTCTTCCTCCTCCCCCAACCCTTCTTCCTTCTACTCTTCCTCCTCCTCTGCTTATTCCTTCATCTTAACTCATCCTTCACTAAAAAGAGTTATATTAGCATTAGAAGTATTCCTTAATGGCTATACTTTTCAGATATTATAACTTCAGAATTTTCTAGCCAATAACAGGATTCTAGGGCAAATGTCATGTAGGATATGGCTCTTCGAGTACCAACATGGCAAGAAATTGATTTCCTCTATTGAAGACACATTGATTTTCAGCTGTACTGAAAAACTCACAGCCTTCCAGTATCGACAAATAGTAAAAATTGACTTCACATAATAACACCTTTATTTACCTAGCCTTGTGACCCTCTGATTTTGTTAGATGATCCTATGGTGAAAGAATGCACCAGGACCAATGCTTGGACAAATAGTAAGTCTCCATTTTCTTTATAGTAGATGCTTCTACATAAAATTCCGCTTTGGGCAGTAACTTGCGTAGACAGCTGTTCTTGTGACACGACATAATGCACACTGAGCACGGTGACAGCTCCAGACGATGGTCTACTCTGGAGTTTCCAACTGGACTGGTAATCTACTGGATACTCTCATCTGGAATTGTCTCCTAGCTGAGTGGTTAAGCTATAGAAGCCCATGATTAAACAATGTTGTTTCTGGAAAGAATAATAGAAATGGTTATTATTAGTGAGTACTTACTGTCTGCCAGGCCCTGCACTAAGGGCTTTTTATGTGTTAGTTTTGTTTAATCCCCACAATATATCTAAGAGGTATTATCCCCCTTTTCCCGTGAGGACACTGAAGGTCCAACAGCTAATAAGTGAAGCTGGCGATATGTCCTGTTTTAGCTACTAACATTTATCAGCTTCATCATACAGACATACTTTGTCAGATTGGTTAGCCAGGCAAGTGACCGCTGAGAGAATGGGGCACAGGAGAAGTAAGTGATGACTGCGAACACAGGCTGGACAAAGATCACTTTCTTATACGAGTCTGCAGTTCTTGAAATAATACCTATCAGATATGGCATTAACAGTGATTGGTAGCCTTATCCAAATGCGATATTTGACTTTTGCCTTCATATCATGGTTTGAATTTACAAACTTCATTTCTTTTTCTTTTTTTTTGAGATGGAATCTCGCTCTTGTCACCCAGGCTGGACTGCAATGGCGCGCTCAGTTCACTGCAACCTCTGCCTCCCGAGTTCAAGTGATTCTCATGCCTCAGCCTCCAGAGTAGCTGGGATTACAGGCATGTGCCACTATGCCCAGCTAATTTTTGTTTTTTTTTTTTTTTTTTTTTTTAGTAGAGACAGAGTTTCACCATGTTGGCCAGGCTGGTCTTGAACTCCTGACAAACTTCAGATGGGGGCATTGCCTTAAGTGTATGATGCCCACCATTGAGGTAGACTACCACATGGTACCTGGATGAGCATCTTATGTTTCACCAAACCAGAAATTTCCCAGGCAAAGTGAACGGAACAAGAGAGACTGCGGATTCAGACGTTTCCTATGCAGTTATACTTCTGAATGGGTAGTCACAGTGTGTTCAAGGGTAAATGATAGCTAAATTATCACCCATCTTTAAATGTTTTCACTTTAACGGGGTTACCAAATCGCTCTTTAAACTTGAATTTCTATCAAGCTTCAGAACCATAAATGTTTTCTTAGAATTTTTCCAAGATTATCTGAATCAGTGAGTCCTTTAACTCACTTCTCCAGGTATCAAAAGTCTTTTAAGTCTTTTTTCTGCCAAAGGTGAATCTATGCTAACGCCTTCTAGTACTGATTCTCCTTTCCATTTTCCCATGCACCCTACTGCTTTCTGTCTCCCTTTGCAATTCAACAGAAAGAGAAATCATGAGGCAGTATGAAATGAAGGACTTTTCTGGGCTGATTTTCCTTTTGAATCAGAATGGAAATTTATGGTCATAGTGCTTTCCATGAGGTATTTAGAAGTTTCCAGTCAATCATTGCTCTTATCAGGGGTTCTTAAAGGCTTTGGGAGATACTAGGTTAGCTTTCTTACAATATAGGCTGCCCTTTGTTACAGCGACACTTTCTTTTTGCAGATTTTTTTTTTCTTAACAGAGAAAATTGAGATATGAAATTATTTCCTTAATCTCTACAATAATCAAATCATAATTATTTCTATTCTATTTTTTAAACTTTTAAATTTCACTAACAGTACATAGCCATTGCAGTAATTTTTTTAAAAAATAGAGAGGAGCTTAAAAATAACAAAAACCTCTATAATCCCATCACCCAGAGATGAGTTTTGGCCCCATTCATCTCACAAGTTCTGTGCAACTATTGCATTTCATGTTGCCTATTCATATTAAGAGAATAGCATTACTTTTATTATGATGATGATTTGTAAACAATTTCCCAGAGTTAATTCCCAGACATTTAAAAATTTTGGCCATAATTGAAAGTCAGGATTTTATCTTCTCAGTTGGAAAGTAGAAGAGAAAAGTATAACAGTGAAAAAAATTTTTCTTAGGTGTGTATTTGTGTTGGATTGTTCTAATTTCAAAACAGAGAAAGTTTTGAACTCCTGCTTTCATGGTTCATTCTTAGAAATAAATAGAATTGTTTTCCCAAGAAAACCTTGGAAAACTTTCTAGTAATAGCAGGAGGAATATGGGAGTAGGAAATGGCAAGTTGAAGGATTTTAATTTGGAAACTGCCACCTTTTGGAATACAGAAGAGCTGGTTATGGGATTGGCCCCTGGCTTTACTTGTCCTTAACATGGGCTTTGATAAGGGGAAAACAAAGTGAGGGCTTCGAGCCACAAGTCAAGGTCTTGGGAAAGCTTAGCAAAATGGTGCAAGTCTCTCGTGATATCTACCTTTATGCTTACTGCTTTCTATTGGCAAAAATCTCTCATCTTTTGCAGATGCACTGAGATCCCATCAGTAGACAGAGAAAGAACGTGGGTGAGTCAGAAGCAATCAGCCAGAAGCACACAAATGGGTGTGGACATGTCACTGCCAACAACCCACACAGAGTGGCTGGCTACTGCATTCACCCTTAGGATCTCCTAATGAGCACAGTTAACAGTAGTTGGAGCTTTGTCTCTGACATCCTCTTGCAGTCATCTGCCTTATTTGCTGATTGATTTCTGTTCTTGAAACTCTGAACAGGAAGCCTTCTGTTGACTCATCCCTGCTTTTCAGACTGGAAAGCACTTGTAATTTTATCTGCCATGTATAGTCTCTAAAAATTTATTTTGAAGATATGCTGTATCAAAAGCAATTTAAGAAAGTAGGAAGGTAGGAAATATAACAACCAAAACCAAACAGTGACACTAAATATATACATATATATAGCTGTACACTAGACTTAACCTAAACTGACCAGCTAGATGATTTTGATGCAGTAAAGACAAGTTAAGAAAATTTGTCTTTACTGTCAACAAGACAGTAAACTTGTCTCTATGTCAACAAGAAAAAAGGCAATTAGAAATTCTTGGAAAAACAGAAATTTGCAAATGAAGTCCCAATTTAATATGAGGTAAACTGAAATGTGACAGAATTCTGCATAATTGATGGTATATAAGAAAAAAGAAAAAAGAATACATTGGAACTTGACGCTTACAGCTAGTATGGTGACAACGGACTATATCTCCTTTAACTGATTTAGTTTCACCATCTGGAACTGCACTGAATAAAAATATTTACCTAATTGTAATACTGAATATATTTTATTAGTTTTCATTTTTCATAATTAACCTGTATGCAAAGCATGGAAGATAAATTATATTTGCTGAACAAAATGGAAATATTCTAAAACTTGATGTTGTAAATTAATGCTTATTATAGGTGATAAAATGTAAGGGGGGGATTGAGGTGGAATGGAGTACAAGAGCATATGTTTTCTTCTGTTTCATAGTGGATGGTTGAAATGGTACTCTTTAGTCTTGATACATAGAGAAGTAGAGATTTAGGAATATGATTACATGATTAAGGTAACAAATGAAAGATTATATATCTGAAGAGGACAGAGGGGAAAGGAGATGCTGTGTCTCAAAATTGTGTTCTCCTCTAGCAGGGAATCAATATACCGTTGACCCTTGAACAACACGGGTTTGAATTCAGGAGTCCTCTTATATCCCAGTCTTTTTTAAACCAAACATGAATTGAAAATACAGTATTCCCAGGATGCAAAGCCTGTGTATAGGGAGGGCTGACTTTGCGCATATGCAGATTCTGCAGGTGGACTGCAGGACTTGAGTATGCCTGGATTTTGGTATATGCAACAGGTCCTGGAACCAATCCCCCAAGTGAGTATACTGAGGGGCGACTGGATTGTTTCACTTTTGTAGAGGCATATGGGAGTTAGGCAGCCTTGTGCTTTTCATACTATGTTCTTGTTTAATTTCTGGGGTTTTTTGTTTGTATTTTTGTTATCCATGTACATCTTTTGAAACTGAAAAAATGGTGATCAGATGATTTACAAGAAACTTTGATTAACAATTATACTAGCACAACTTTGTTAAATTTCCCTAGGAGAAGACAACAGCCTCAAATGCAGTGGGAAAAAAAAGCAAAATCTGCCTGCTTCCACATTGTTTTCAAGGAGAGCACTTGAACAAAATGGTACTATTTGGACAATAAATAGATGGGTACCAATTCTAGACAAGCACAAGCAAAAAGAAAACAGGGCTGGCAGTATTCGCATGGGGGCAATTTCAAGACAGAAAGCATTAAGTGGACAAAAGGTGATATTTTGTAATGGTAGGGGTTAGAATCCACCAAGAATTTATACAGCCATGGTTCTTTACGTATGGAAAATTAGCGCCGAAATTGGTAAAGGAAAAACTGTTAGGAGATAAAAGAATTAAAGAATAAGGCAAAAAATATTAGTACTTAGAAAATTATAATAGCCAATGGTATAATTTAAGGTATGAAAATAAAACAAACAAAAGTCTGCACCTGCAAAGGAAACTTGAAAGGCAGGGCTGTTGGGGATGGGGTGTGTGTGGCGGTGAAAGGGGTACAGATAGTTTATCCTAATCATAGGTTTTAATCACTTTCTTGTAGAAGGAAGGAAAAGTTTTATTTCTGTGACACCATCTCATTGTAAAATCCAGTAAAATTGAAAACTTTGAGATAAATGTATTATCAGGAGTTACAGCCATAACTTTTAGTATGTGAGCTATAAATTCTGTTCTTATCACTAAGTCACTGAGAACTAAGGCTGCTGATTTTCCCAACATAGTAAAACAGAGCGACCTGACCAAAAAATGAAAAACATTTTTATGGACTTTTATTCTCCTTCCTGCAACCCTAATCTCCTTCCTTCCTCTATAGATTCTAGTCTATCTAAGAAATTCTAGGTGGATGGTTTGCTTTCTCTGAGGGAAGCTAAGATTGAGGCCAAAAGGAGATCTGCTAGGTACCTGTGCAAACGTCAGGTGGGACAGTGAATAGAAAGTAGGCATGCAGGGGACCGAGAAAGATAGGCTCTGGGCATCACAAACAGCTTTTCCAACTCTAGAGACTTGAAAAATGTATTTGGAGTTACATCTAAGTCAGAAGAGTACATCTTGTTTATCCCCCCAAAAAGCCTCCTGGTATATACCTTTTAGTCAAATAGCATTGTGATCTTGTCACAATATATGGACAACAGATATTTTCAGTTCATTTGATACTTAACATAGAACATATTAATGTGCCATTTTATCAGAAACCTGTAAAGGAGTTTAATAATGGATAACTAGAATGAACATAAGTGGTAGCAGGTCCTTACTCTCATCCCCCCTCCCACTTTTCATAATGTACTGATTTGAAATGTTCGTGAAATCAATACAGACAAATTAACTCAGTGAGCAGCTTCTCCCCAGTCTCTTGCTGCAGTGATGAGAAGCCTCTTTCTGGATCTACTTGTTTCCAGATGGTAGACAAGGCTTATTCTGACACATGGACTGAAAACAGGGCAGACCAGCAGTCGGAATCTTCCCTGCTTAGTGTCTTAATCTATAGTAAGACCTCAAAGAATTAGATTCCCTAGCATGAGGAATTTTTCTTACTGAATTTTTTAATGCCACTATATGGCAGTGATTAAATAGCAAGTTCAAGTGATTAAATCTGGTCCATCTCTATACTTTTCCTTTACAATTGCTATCAGGTTTTGTAAGTAAGGAAGTGGAGGCATTTTTGTAAGTGTGTTAACTCTCAAAGCCCACAAAAGTATGTTTTTAAACTTAGGGATCAAGTTGTGTGGATCCGATTTCAGACCCCCAGAGGTTCTTCCAATGTGTCTAATGTCCAGGACAGTGCACATGTTCAGAGTTTCATTGTATTTTTCTTTCTTTCTTTCTTTCTTTCTTTCTTTCTTTCTTTCTTTCTTTCTTTCTTTCTTTCTCTCTCTCTCTCTCTCTCTCTTTCTTTCCTTCTTTCTTTCTTTCCCCCTCCCTCCCTCCCTCCCTCCCTCCCTCCCTCCCTCCCTCCCTCCCTCCCTTCCTTCCTTCCTTCCTTCCTTCCTTCCTTCCTTCCTTCCTTCCTTCCTTTCTTTTTTTGATGGAGTCTCGCTCTGTCACCAGGCTGGAGTGCAGTGGCATGATCTTGGCTCACTGCAACCTCCACCTCCCAGGTTCGAGCGATTCTCCTGCCTCAACCTCCCGAGTAGCTGGGGCTACAGCTGCCCACCACCACGCCTGGCTAATTTTCGTATTTTTAGTAGAGACGGAGTTTCACCATATTGGCCAGGCTGGTCTCGATCTCTTGACCTTGTGATCTGCCCGCCTCTGCCTCCCGAAGTGCTGGGATTACAGGCATGAGCCACCGCACCCAGCCAGCAGCATGTTTTCTTTGAAGTGTTGTTCAGGGGTCTCTTGCATCAGAATGTCCTGAACTGCTTGTTGGGAATGCAGTATCCTGATCCTACCCTCCAGATTCTGATTCAGTAAGCCTGGACTGAGCCTTGGAAATCTGCATTTTATTTAGCATAATGTCCTGGGGGCTTGGGGGCTCCCCAAAGTTTGAAAACCACCGCTAAGGGCTATTATGTTTCTGTAGGCAAACCTATTTTTCTGTTTTCATTTTATGTCATACAAAGTAGGAGTTTAAGAATTTATTTTTGGTGAAACTAGAACACTGTCTTCAAATTAATAAGAGCCTTGTTGTGTAGGAGAAATATTCTCTTCAAAATCTCTCCACGAAATTGATCTCAAAAAGACTGGCTGAGTCAAATGCTAAACAGATCTGTCCTGTATCTGGCTGCCACCTGTCAAAATTGCTGACCTTACACTTATGTATTCAAATGCTTCCTGGAAGTCAAAACATATTTTCAAAAGTTTCTAGTGGAAAAGAACTAAGCCTGTCGCTTGGTTTTAAAAGGTGGAAATTGAGATAAGACCGAATGGTTGAGATTAATTTCACATCACAAGAATAGGGGTGAGAAGAGAATAGCAATTTCCATAACTTCTATCATTTATCTTTTAGGTTGAGGATACTGTGAAATAATCCTTCCCTTTCCAACCAACATGAAGATGACTGATACACCCATCATACTGAAGGATTCCTACTGTGTCAGAGATTACATTATATTAAGTCCTTACAGAAATATAAAGAGTATAACCTTCAAAAAACTGGGAATTGTTAAATTATACATTGGATTTTGGGGGCTATTGTTTGGGAGGTTTTGTTTTGTTTTGTTTTGTTTTTCCTTCTTTCATAACAGTTCGCTCAATTAACTATACCAGAGGCATCTTTGGCTGCAAAGGTGGAGGAATCACTGTGCTCGAAGATGACAGTTCTACACCTTGGCCTGACAGTTTTGAGATTCTTGCTTCTAAAATAAGATGGAACCTGAAAGATGGGATGATTCTAGCATACTAAGTATTTGACTTTAATTGGAATCATTGAACGTCCCTTGAATTTTTTTTCTCATTGGTATTGGATTCTGTTGTCTTTACTGATGGAAATTTCTTTTCCTTCCATTCTTGGTTCATGACAAACCACCAACTGTCCACGCATGATCTCCTTTCATTTTACTTGTATTTGAAATGAAAACCTGTGAGTGCAATGCCTAATCTAAGAATCAGAACATTATTCTTTTATACCCCTATCTCTGTAATTCTCCTTTATCTTACTCCTTCACCTCCCCATCCCTCTGCCACCAGAGGTAACCACCATTCTGAACATTGTTTATCATTCTCTTGCTTCACCCCTACATATCTACATGTAGCCTTAAGCAATACATTGTTTCATTTTGCCTGGCTTTGAACTTTATGAAGAGGTATCATCCCTGGCTTATATGATCTCTTGAGACTTGCTGTTTCACTCAGCCTTATATTCCTAAGATTCATCCATGCTGTCATTGCTGTGTAGTATTTTTATTTGTGCTTATACTGCAGTTTTTCTATAAATGTTAGTATAGGTTATACTATGATTTATCAATACTCATGTCATTGGGCATTCAGGGTGTTTCCTGTTTTTGTATCTATGAGCAGAGCTGTTAGTAAGCATTTGCGTCTCCTGGCATGCATGTGCCGAGGTTTCCCTTGTGTCTATGCTTAGAGGAAGTACAGCAACCACTGCTGTGTTGTGGTGTATGAAATCATTCAACTTTACAAAAGAATGGGAAAGCGCTTTCAGGGTCGCTATATCCATTTACACTTCCACCAGAGGTGCAGAAAAGATCCTATCAGTTCACCTCTTCACCAACTCTTTGTATTTTCAGACATCAATTTTTTTTTTGCCAATTTTGTGTTTATAAATCTACTGATATACTTCTTAAGTATTTTATCTATCCCTTAGGAAAAAAGGTAGGAAATAGAATGTGGTTGCCTTCACATAGAGAGGCTAGAAAACAAAGTATCATGCCTGCTTAGTTTGATGGCACCCAAATTTTTCTCCCAGTTATCTCACTACTAGTAGTTGACATTCTTTTCTCACCCTCGCTAGAAATATGAAAACCTTGCCTCTGCACAGTGGAATCCCTTGGAACATTTAAAAAATGCTAATGTCTGGACCCCACCTCCAGAGACTCTGATTTCTTTGGAGCCCAGCATTGAACATAGGGATTTTTTTTTTTAAATAAAAGCTTCCCAGGTGATTCTAACGTGCAGTCAAGGTTGAGAATCACTGCTTTAAAATACAGAAATCTTGACAAGCAAGCATAAGCTCAGGGTAGCCTGATATTGTTAATTGTTCTTTTTCTCATTTCTAAAGTACAAAGTTTGCATAATTTTGGAGAATCCTCTTGCCTCTAATTTCTAGCTCAGCAGCCTTTGAGAGTTTTTTGGTTTTTGTTTTGGTGTTTGTTGTTGGTAGAAGTAAATAGTAGAAATTCAATAAAAGTTAGTATGGGCTAGAAATTGTGCTTGACATTTATTTTTTTCTTATAACTGTGGATCTCAAAGTTTAGTGTGCATAAGAAACACCTGGGAAGCATTTTGTTTTGTTTTACAATGCGGATTTTGATTCAGTAAGTCTTGGCGTGAGCCCCCGGGAATCTGTGTTCTAACAAAGTGATTATGATGTAGGTGGTTCTAGAATCACCTTTGGATAAAAACTGCCTCATAATAATCCTACAGTATAAGCAGTATTCTCATTTACAGATGGGGGGATGTGAAGCCCAGAGAAGTTAAGAAGCCTGCGCCGTGTCACAGAGCTCCCTAGGGGACTAGCCTTTGCTCTGTAAGCTCTCAGCCCTGCTCATAGTATGCCTCCAACAAGGCTCTCAGAATTTAGGAAAGTCTGCTTTGGAACATGTGTTATCTTCTCTATACTTACATTCTTTCTTAATCTGCCATGACTTTCTCTCCTCATCAAAAAACAGCCTTTAATCTCCTACCCAAATCCACCTCGTACCTGTGAGTCTTCAGGTGTGTTACACTCTGAACATGGTCCCGTGAGAGAATTTCTTATTAAAAATTGAGCTTGCAAAAAATCAAATGTGTTATATTTTTGTTCTTATTTCACCCTAAAACAATGACTTTAGTTGACAATCACTTTTATGCAACCTTAGTAATTATTTCTAAACTCATGTACAAGTGGATGGAAGTATTTCTGTGCACATTTAGAAAATTTATATTCATTGCTTGTTTCCCTCCCCTGCCACCCCACAGAGTGAGGACTTTACCATGAAATCTGGGCCTTTGGCCTATGTATTTTTAATCATGTTCATATTGTACTGTATCTGCAACCATCTGTAATACAGCTGTATATGTTTACATGAAACACAATAAACTTTTAAGTTTAATTCCATTTGTGAGCAGATGGTAGCTTGTCAAGGAAACATTTGATCATGTTTATGTCTGTATTTGGCCACAAAAACCTCATAATTACTCTCATTAATTACATATCCTTTTCATGTTACCTGTAATAAATGCTAAGGTATCATATGTGTTGGCCTTGTGGGATATATTTTTGTATGTAGAGACAGTCCTCTTAAGAATGTTTGCGGCCTGGAGCAGTGGCTCCGACTTGTAATCCAAGCACTTTGGAAGGCCGAGGCAGGCGGATCACTTGAGGTCAGGAGTTCGAGACCAGCCTAGGCAACATGGTGAAACCCCATCTCTACTAAAAATACAAAAATTAGCTGGGTGTGGTGGCAGGTGCCTGTAATCCCAGCTTCTTGGGAGGCTGAGGGAGGTGAATTGCTTGAACCTGGGAGGCAGAGGTTTCAGTGAGCTAAGATCGTGCCATTGCACTCTAGCCTGAGTGACAGAGTGAGACTCTATCTGAAAAAAAAAAAAAAAAAAAAAAAAAAAGAATGTTTGCTTCTGTAGGCACATTTATGTCTACCTATTATGATGTCAAGGGTGTATTCCAGTTTGTATCTGTAGCTGCTACAAGAAGGGTGTCATGGGATCTGTGGTTACACTCTTACTCTTCCCATCTGGGTATTTCTGAGTGTATTTGCTCCAGGAGAGCCACTGGTTCTGCTGGCCTACATGCAAAGTGTATCTATCTCTCTGTTAATGCGTTTCCCATGATGATACTCGCTGCTGAGATACTTCCTAGGAAGTTTTGCTTTCCTATCACCTCCTTTAAGTGCTTTCCTTTAAGTGTTCTCATTTTAACTCATTATTAAACTAGCAGACTTGATTGCAGTGAATTTTTCTTAAATAACTTAATTGTAGGGCCTTTTGCGCGTCATTTTGTGCTCCTACTTACTGCTCAGAGGTGGTACAAAGTCAGCAGCTCAAGAGACAGACCTGCCACCCATGATCTCTCCTCCAAGTTCTCAGGATGTTCAGAAAGTTAAAATTTCACTCTGTCGAGTTTCCATCTGGCTTGGCAATCAATGCCGGATTAGCTCCAAATACTCTTTCCAAGTCTCTTGAAGGATGTGCTAGCCTCTGTTTTGAATTCTACTTCAGGATCACACCATCTCTGCATGCAAGAATGACATATCTGAGTGACTGCCACTAAACCCACATGGTGGAAGTGTTTGCTTATCCTGCTATGTGATGCTGGCTATCATATTGTCAGTTTATGAGGTGTTTTTTTTTTTTTTTGCTTGTCTTCTTCCATGTAAGTATTTCCAGAGCAGAGGCATTGGCTTGCAGAAGGTGTGCCTGCAATCAGTCCAGCTTCCCCAGATGTGCTGAGGCTTCAACAGGGGTTTTTAAAACTTGTGCTAGAATACTCATCTTCCAAAAAATCTTTAAGTTGATGCAATATAATAGCTGCCAATTGAGCATACATTTTGAGGTAGTTTTCTTTAATGGGAGTATATGCTCATCCACACTCTCTTTCCAGTGTTAAATATTTTAAGACAGCTGGTTAGAGTTGAGGGTGCCTTTTTTTTGGTCATAAAACGATGACAGAACTCTAAAATCACATGGTTATTTATCAACATTAAAAACATTCTTTTATATCCATTAATTAATTTATTCTTTATAACAGCTTCTGTGGAATAGGTATATAAAGGGTTTTTTTTTTTGTCTACTGTTATTTAAGAGTATCATAAAACCTGAGAAAGAAAAACATAATTAGTTGTCATCTAGTCTAATGCTCTCATTTTGCAGATAAATAAATTGAAGTTCAGAGAGATGAAGTCACTCACTTATGGACCTATAGCTAGTGAATGGCCCTGAAATTGTTTCCCAGTCATGGCTGGAGGCACAACTTTGTCTGAGACCTGACTGATACTTTTGACTATGTGATGTTGTGTCAATTATCTAACACTTCTGGACCTCAGTTTCTTTACCCATATTATGGATTATTGTGAATATTATATTAGACTACATCCAAGAATGCTATTAACCCAGGGCCTACCATCAAATAAGTAGTTAATTTATATCAGCCACTTCACAGCTGCACTTATTTTTATTTTTATTTTTTCTGAGACAGAGTCTCGCTCTGTTGCCCATGATGGAGTACAGTGGTGTGATCTTGGCTCACTGCAACCTCTACCTCCTGGGCTCAACTGATTCTTGTGCCTCAGCCTCCCAAGTAGCCGGGACTACAGGTGCCACCATGCCTGGCTAATTTTTGTATTTTTAGTAGAGACGGGGTTTTGCCATGTTAGCTAGGCTGGTCTTGAACTCCTGATCTCAAGTGATCCGCCTGCCTCAGCCTCCCACAGTGCTGGGATTACAGGCGTGAGCCACCGCGCCTTCCTGCTGTGCTTATTTTCAATACTCTTTTCTCAGGGATCTTGGTAACCAGAGCAGAATGGCAGTTTTTCAGCTCTTACAATGCCTTTGTTTAGAAGTCTTGTATGTGTATATCTGCTCCATCACTTAAAAGTTCTCCTAATGCAATTTGGAAGGGTTTAATATGGAACAAGAGCAGGGACTTTGGGATGGAGTCTAATGATAACTTGTCACATGTTCTTTTAGAAGCTGAATTAGGTAGTTTTTGCCTTACTGGTGCGCTCTCATTTAACTGTGAGGTATCCTGGCACTTCAAACAGGTACCATATGGTAACTGTTTTGTGTTTTAAGCCTGGTACTGTTTAGAACACATGCTTCAGAGAGTGGTCATTGTTTCGCTGCCACCCAGTTAAGGCATGTGTTACCTCTTGTTATGGATGGAATGCCTGTGAGCCCTAGGTTCCTATGTTGAAGCCCTAACCCCCAGTGTGATGGTATTTGGAGATGAGGCATTTGGGAGGTGGGTAAGGTTAGATTAGCTCATGATGGTGGGACCCTCTTGATGGGATTCATGGCCTTATAATAAGAGGCCATGTGAACACAGAGAAAAGGTCATGTAAGGACTCGGCAGAAAGGTGGCCATCTGCAAGCCAGGAAGGGAGGCCTCCCTAGAAGCCAGACACTGCCTGATCT
Organism: Homo sapiens; assembly: GCF_000001405.40. Lineage (NCBI taxonomy): Eukaryota > Metazoa > Chordata > Mammalia > Primates > Hominidae > Homo > Homo sapiens. Next base: position 72,059,867 of record NC_000014.9, read on the forward strand.
TGATCTTGGACTTTCCAGGCTTGAGAACTGTGTTGTTTAAGCCCCTCAGTCTGTGATATTTTGTTATGGTAGCTGGGCTTGAACAGACTGAGAGACCTCTGCTGGAGTGTGCGTTGTTCAATGATTTACTTCCTTGTTTGCCTACATTATACACTTTCACTATGTCTCCACGATGGAAGAGGCATGACTGTTCAGATGCATCGGGGTTCGTCTCTACCTACCAAGGTCCTGTGCCATGAGGAGATGTCGGGCCAGGGACTCAAACAGGAGCAGTCATCCAACTCCTTTCTATTAGGTCTTTGGTGATTTAAAATCTCATATGAATCAAGAGCTGGTAGAGTGCTAATGTTCACAGGTTTTTATAGAACATTAAAGCTCTGTAATAGTTATTTTGTATGTTATATAAATAATTTCCCTGCAAGTATTTATTCATTTACTCTTCATTTACATAATTGCTTATAATCTTTTTTAATATATTCTTGTCCCCTGCGCCACCCCTCCCACCTTTTTTTTTTTTTTGCTGTGGTTCATATGCTTTTATGTAACCTGAGCTATAAAAGACTAGAATACTGCAGATATTCTATCTGCCATGTCTGTCATTTTCTTATGATGGGTACTTAGTCTACCGTATACAAATTTCTGTATAGTTACCAATGTCTTTTTAGCTATTTATTAATCTTATCTTGTTTCTTTGGCTTCTGAATCACTTTGCTGAAGTTGAAATCATCTGAGGTCAGAGCCAGTTTTTATTTAAATAGACTGAATGCAGCTAAACCTGGATTATAGCCAAGAAAGATCTTACACCAAGTGCCTACAAAATTAGAAGCATTGCCAAGGACGCATCAGCAGAGTGTTTTGCTTACTGAAGTCTTATTCTGAAATAAATTTGAGGCCCTGGCGATGGGAGCTTTTGGTTGTTATTGGTAGACCTCCTAAAAAATGTAATGTAGTTTAATTTTACTTTTAATTTTTTTAGCATGAACTTTCTCCTTCATTTCTTCTTTCCAGAGATTTTTGGGTCTATCCATTGGTTGCCATCTATGTGTTCAAACATGTGACTAGGTAGAAGAGAGGTAAACAGGAGTGTATTCACCTGTTATCATGGAGAAGTTATTATTCAAGACCTGTAAGGGGAATGTGGCAGTCCTAAAGGCTGCAAATATTCTGGCAGCATTGTAGGATTGCACTTTCCCTCCTCCTCTGAAGGTAGATGGGAGCCATGTGTCTTGCTGTGGCTAATGAAATGTGAGCAAAGTGTTGCAAGCTTTAAGAGCCAGTGCATGATTCATCATGTTCCCATCCCATTGCCACAGTGTTTGTGAAAGCGAGTGTTGAGATGGACCCTTTGTTTTCTGGGTCCTTAATTGACTGTGGTAAGATAAATTATTGACAACCTGTACTAGACATATATCTTCAGCAGTATCCTTTGGTTGGGATTTTGTTGAGATAAGGGTCCGTGATTTGGCATACTCAGTGTAACCTAACCTATTCTGATTCTTATAGGGAATCAGAGAAGTGTCCTTACACTCAGGGAGCTTGTGATTTAATATAGTTGAGAAGATGTGTTTGCATAATGAAGAAGGAACCAGCTGCTTAACTGTACTCTTTATTTAGCCACATTACTGAACAAGAGACAAGCTGATTATAGCATAATATTGAGATTTTGAGTATATTCCTGAGACCCTGGTTTCAACTGGAAAAGTAACTTTTTTTTTTTCCTTGACACTTTCAGATCACAATTGATCAAAACACCTATGCAAGGAATTAAACTTGCTACAAATAAGCCACTAGATGCATGATACCTTTAAAAAAGACCAATTATGAGTTATCTTTTATTGTTCTTTTTATATTAAAAATCTGCATGGGAAATGGAATGAGAATATTTATAACAGTACAGATTTGCTATGATGGTGTCTATTAATCAAAGTTCTTTATTTTTTAGTATGTGGGGACGACACATACTCATGGCTAATATTGGTGAAATTGCTAATTCATTCATTCTTTATTTGGTGATTCACTCCACAAACATTTATTGGGCATTTGGTATAAACCAGGCATAGCTCTCAATGCTGCTGGTACAGCAAGAAACAAGACAGAGCCTCTGACTTTGTGTCTTACATTTTAGTGAGAGAATTGGGTAATAAGCAAACAAAGAAAGGTACAGTGTGGTATCAATGATGAGAGTTATAAAGACAAAGCAGAGAAATGAGACAGACAGTGCAAGGTGTGTGATCTCACATAGAGTGGTCAGGAAAGGCTGCTTTCAGAAGGTGACATTTGAACAAGAAATTGAAGAAAGCAGGGAGAAAAGCCATGTGACTGCCCTGAGGAAGAATCCTTCAAGTGGCATAAATAGCCATTTCAAAGACCCTGAGGCAGGGATGTAGTAGGATGTTTGAAGAACAGCAAAGAGACCAGTGTGGCTGGAAGAAGGGTGAGCAAGTGAGGAGAGGTGGGTAGGAGATGAAGCCAGAGACGTGGTCAAGAGCCACAGAACCAGGGCCTGCCCTGCCTCTGATGAAAAGGCACTGGGATTTTGAATGTGAGAGAACCATGACCTGCTTTATGTTGGAAACTGATGTAGTCTGTGGAGGGCAAGAAAACAAACAGACCAGCAAGGAGACTTTTGCATGAGTCCAAATTGGAGATGATGGAGTTTGGACACAGTTGGCAAGTGTGGTGGTTGTGAGATGTGTTGGGTTCAAGATATCTTTTGAAAATATTGCTATTAGGACTTTGTGATTTGTTGTGGACTTTGGCCTGAGCATCTGATTGACTGATGATGCTATTTTCTCAGATGAGGAGAATGTTCAAGATGTTGTTACCTATTTAAGAGAAGGTGGCCATTGCATATTGCATATGTGAGCCTGGACTTCAGGGGAAAGTTTAGGACTGGAGATAGGCGGTTGGTCATTCAATGGATAGGTGGATTTGAATCCATGAGATTGGATGAGATTCTTTTTTGTTTGTTTGTTTCTGAGACATAGTCTTGCTCTGTCATCCGGGCTAGAGTACAGTAGCACGATCTCAACTCACTGCACCCTCTGCCACCCAGGTTCAAGCATTCGTGCCTCAGCCTCTGAGTAGCTGAGATTTACAGATGTGCACCACCACGCCCAGGTAATTTCTGTATTTTTAGCAGAGACAGGGTTTTGGCATGTTGGCCAGGCTGATCCCGAACTTCTGGCCTCAAGTGATCTGCCCGCCTCGGCCTCCAAAGTGCTGAGATTACAATCATGCGCCACCACGCCTGGCCTGGATGAAATTCTTGAGGAAAGGAGGGTACCGAGAGGAGAAAAGATGTTGAAGAACTGAATCTGGGGTGCTCCCAACAGTTAGAGGTTGAAGAGCTGAAGAGGAACCAGTAAAGGGGACCGAAAAGGAGCAGCCATTGAGGAGAGAGGACAGCCAGACAAGTGAAGTGATCCACAGCTACATGAAGACAGTGCCAAGGAGGAAGGAGAAATGAGAAATGAAAATACTACTGAGAGGTTGAGGGCCTGGGCTGAGACTGGAACACAGGATATAGCAGCATGGAGATCATGGTGACATTGACAATATCATGTCATTGATTGGGTGGGGGCACAAGCTTGATTGAAGCTGGTTCAAGTGAGAATAAGAGATGAGGAAATAAAGATAGGATATACGTTTCTTGAGAGATTTTTGCTGTGGGGTGAGAGGTAAGGGAGGATAGCTATTTAGGATGTGAAGTCAGAAAAATTTAATTTTTTAAAGATGGGGGTTATATTACACTTGAAAGCTGATCATTATTTAGTAGAGATAAAGAAATTGACAGAAGCATCTCCTTAAGTAGGCAAGAGGGGATGGGACCTAGTGTAAGTGGTGGGTTGGCTGCTGCATTAGCTGGAGTTAAGGCATTGCATGTTCTAGATTTGTACGGAGACATATAGGTGAATGCACACACTTATGGGAAGATACTGTTATTATCTTCTGCTTGCCTTTGTTTTCTAAGAAATAGAATCAAGATCATCAGATGGGTGTGAGTAAGGGGTCATTTCTAGGAGTAGGAGTGTAAGTTGGCCAAGAAAGTGTAATAAGATTGCTGAGCAGAACTGAAAGCACATTGAGATTACTATCATATCTTTAAAGCAAAATCAGCCAGTGTAGTTCTTTGTTTTTCTCTAGATTGTGTCATTTGCTGTGGTGTAGGGAGAGAGTCTAAGGATTCTCTCGTAGGTAATCATGGTCATAGTTTTGCAATCTGAATAATGTGGAAGTGGAGATGGGCAGCCGTGCAGTAGGGCACTTGCAAGGGAGCAATTTTTGGGAGTGCCAAAGGCCAGGCTGGAAGAGGTGAAGGAGGAGGGAGTGATTTTTGGGTGGTGCCCTAGACCAGGCTGAAGGAGGTGAAGGAGGAGGGTGAAGACATAAAGTGGGGAACGGACCATGGAGAGGAGGTCAAGTCAATGGATCCAGAGGGCACTGATGCCAAATTGTTGACAGGCATGAGAGGGAATGAGCTGGAAATTCCTTTGAAATAAAAAGTTGGCAGCTTTCCTCAAGCTTAATCTCAAAAGAGACATTTAAAAATTACTTACTTTTGCTGCATGGTTGGGGAAAAATGTATTTTTCAAGCATGAGTTCAACTCATTTTGTACCAGGGTATTCACACTGATATTCTTGGGTAAGTCATTAAAATTAGTCAACTATTTCTGTGTCTTCACCCACAAAAGGAGACGTGTGAGAAGTGAATACTTAGTGATTGTTAGATTCCACTGAATCTCACTGCTTTGTTGCAGTTTAACGAGCAGGCTAGGATTGCAGCGCTGTCATTTCAGTTGGGCCACCAAGCCTTGAATGAGGAGATAAAACTGGAAGATAAAGTCTTAGTAGGTACAACAAAAGAAGCTTTTGAGAGATCGTTGGATAGATGTCATCTATTTGGTTGCTAAATAATAACACACAAAGAAATCTCTCTACTGTTTATCATGTGTACTTATCTTGAGAAGCATCAGTGATTAAAAAAACAACTTTGAAAACATAAAAATGGTGAAGTGTGGCAATGGTATCATGTGGCAACGGTAAAATGTGTTTACCCATGTAAATATAATGTCACAAATGAATCTTGTCATTATATTTTGTAGTATCTTGGAGGTTACTGGCCAGAACTATTATAATAGTCAGATTCATTTCATATTTATTTAAAATCCGCGGTGTTTTCACATACATTGTGTTTTTAGGGGAAATTTTACCAATGATTAACATATATTGTCTAGAAGCAGAGCCATCTGAATTGAAACTCAAATATAATTGCCACTTTTATTAAATATACAACTGGCAGACTTTGAAAATGTTATCTCAGCATCTAGCATTGGCTTCATTTTGGTTTCTCATTTTCCTATTTTATTTTGTTCAGTTTAGCAGGGGACAGTGGGGAACAGGGTTACAAATTGCATTTTTTCCTGCATTATTGGTTTTTGTCAAGTGGTTTACAGGCCAAAGTTTGTGGATCTGCCAGAGGCTTTATCCCAAAACTATAGGCAACAGCTATTTCTTGAAATAATTTTAGATAGATTTCTACATTGATTTATGTTTTGGGGTATATGATGCACAATCCCTTAAGTCTTAATATGACTATTGGTTTAATATGGCAGAATTAGGATCAGGTTCACTCATTGTTTATTATAATTTACCCATGCTTGACTACCCAATAAAATGTCTTCCCTTTACAATGATCTTTTTCTATTGCCATATTCTTCTTGTCCTTAAAACAACAATAACAGATCCTCAAACGTCATTGGGGTTAATAAAAGATGTTTCTTTATTTTCAGATCTTTAACAAAGCTTCTCCTTAACCCAGAGGGTTTTCAGAGGAGTAAAGAGTGGAAGTCATTTGTACATGAATTGGCTTTTGAAAGTGGCCCTCATTATTTTATTTTATTTTATTTTATTTTTTTATTATACTTTAAGTTTTAGGGTACATGTGCACAATGTGCAGGTTAGTTACATATGTATACATGTGCCATGCTGGTGTGCTGCACCCACTAACTCATCATCTAGCATTAGGTATATCTCCCGATGCTATCCCTCCCCCCCTCCCCCCAGCCCACAACAGTCCCCAGAGTGTGATGTTCCCCTTCATGTGCATCATTTTTTATGAAGTGGCCCTCATTATTAAGCCATGTCTCTGCCTGTTGATTGATGTTAACTATCTGCTTATGGTCTGAGATCAGTGTGTACTGCAAATGTTTGGGAAGATATCTTCTTTCTGTGGAGGTGAAACTTAAATATCTTCTATAAAATATGCCTCGATTTCAGAAGTAGCAATTGTAGCAATGCCTGATGTGACCACTTTATTACTGCCTTAGAAGTACTTTTGTGGTTTGACTGTGGGGAGGGAACGGGTCACTGGAGATTTTGCTATCTCTCCAGGTTTCATGCTTTGGGAATCAAAGGTAGGTAACAGTTTGGAAAAACTCTGTAGGGGCTAAAGCTTTTTCTAAAGGTTTTTACGTCTATATATACCTCTGTATGTTACTGCTTCAAGCCCAGCAACTAGCAATTTTAGTTTCACTGAAATTGTGTTTTCTTTAAATACACAAGATAATAGAATTGTAACTGGAATTTACATGTTATATATAAAGATATATTTTATTTAATCTTGTCAGAAGGGTTTTTTTTTTTTTTTTTTGGTGCTTTTAAGCTAATGTGGCATCTTTCTCTTTTCAAAGAGTGGCATCTCCAAGGAATAGCTCTGCCTGGAAGGTGTTTGTGGCTGTCCACTTAAAAGCTGAAATTAGGTCAGTGTTATTTTGTCTTGAGATAACAAAAATAAGACCCCAAGGGAGTAGTGACTTGGGATTTCATTTAAGTACTTAATTTACAGGAAAAAAAATACAGTTTCCGATACTGAATAATTATTACACTACTGAATAATTATATATTTTTTCTTCTCCCGGTGTTCTTATACTTTAGAGGCAATTTTTTTTTTTTTTTTGTAAAGATCACAAAAGGTCTGATTAGTCAAAGAATGAAAGAAATGCACTGTGGCTCCAAAGTCCCTTATCCAAAACCTCTGGGACAGATGTATTTTGGAATTTAAGATTTTTGTGCTGAGAATGATGGTTTCCAGCTTCATCCATGTCCCTGCAAAGGACATGAACTCATTCTTTTTTATGGCTGCATAGTTTTCCATGGTGTATATGTGCCACATTTTCTTTATCCAGTCTATCATTCATGGGCATTTGGGTTGGTTCCAAGTCTTTGCTATTGTAAATAGTGCTGCAATAAACATACGTGTGCATGTGTCTTTATAGCAGCATGATTTATAATCCTTGGGGTACATAGCCAGTAATGCGTCATTCCCAGCAAACTAACACAGGAACAGAAAACCAAACACTGCATGTTCTCATTCATAAGTGGGAGTCGAACAATGAGAACACGTGGATGCAGGGAGGGGAACATCACACACCAAGGCCTGTCGGGGAGGTGGAGGACAAGGGGAGAGAGAGCATTAGGAAATATACCTAATGCATGCGGGGCTTAAAACCTAGATAATAGGTTGATGGGTGCAGCAAAACGCCCTGGCACATGTATACCTATGTAACAAACCTGCACGTTCTGCACATGTATCCCAGAACTTAAAGTAAAATTTAAAAAAAGATTTTTTGGAGTTTAGAAAAATAATACATTTGGATTTAGCAGGGTTTAGTGCGGCACTTTTTAATCACACACACTAATATTTCTGTAGTGAAACTGAATATTCACACTGAGATAAAGACTATGAATAACTTCACATCAGTTCAGGTAAGGTTTTGCCTCCTATTAAGTCTTGATAACAAACTTTAAAAACTTAAAAAAATAAAATAAAATAAAGTTTATTTTCAAAACTTTTGAAGTTTGCGCGTACAGCTAGCTTGTAGGTCTGGCCTTGCTTTTCTTTAGATTATATTTCCCTTATTAGTCTTCTAAACACATTAAATCTGTGTTTACCAACGCTGTAATATTTTGCCACCGTGAGGATGGTCTAGAGGCCAGCACCATCCACATCCCTTGGGAGCTGGCTAGACATGCAGAATCACAGGTGCTACCACGAAGCTGCTGAATCACAATCTGCATTTTAATAGAATCCCCAGGTGATTCATGTGTGCGTTAAAGATCAAGAAGCATTGCTGTAGTATTATATTGGCTTTAATTTAGATTCCAAGTCTTAAAGGGAAATGCTGATGGGGGGATACTTTAGTTGTTTAAATCCTGGGAAAGTGAGCCCAGATTACACTAATATCATTTATTTAATTATGTATGTATGTATTTTTTTTTTTTTTGAGACAAGATCTGACGGTATCACCCAGGCTGGAGTGCAGTGGTACAATCTTGACTCACTGCAACCTCTGCCTTGTGGGGTTCAAGCCATCCTCCCACCTCAGCCTCCAGAGTAGCTGGGACTACAGGCATGCACCACCACACCTAGCTAATTTTTGTATTTTTTGCAGAGAGGGGGTTTTGCCATGTTGGCCAGGCTGGTCTTGAACTTGTGAGCTCAGGCCATCTGTCCACCTCAGCCCCCCAAAGTGCTGAGATTACAGGCGTGAGCCACTGCATCTGGCCGAATATCAGTTCTTTTTAATTTTTTATTCAATATTTCCTCCGTCTCTCCCTCCCACTCTTCCTATTTTTTTTTTTTTTTTTGAGACAGAGTCTCGCTTTGTCGCCCAGGCTGGAGTGCAGTGGCGCAATCTTGGCTAGCTGTAACCTCTGCGTCCCAGGTTCAAGCAATTCTCTGCCTCAGCCTCCTGAGTAGCTGGGATTACAGGCGCCTGCCACCACACCCGGCTAATTTTTGCATTTTTACCAGAGATGGGATTTCACCATCTTGGCTAGGCTGGTCTTGAACTCCCCACCTGTTGATATATGTGCCTTGGCCTCCCAAAGTGCTGGGATTACAGGTGTGAGCCACTGCGCCCGGCCCACTCTTCCTTTCTCTCCTCCTTCCTTTTCTTTTTCTTTCTTTTTAAAAATAAGTCTCATAATACTTGACTTTAAATGGATCATTTAGTCTATTTATTTACATTTATTATATTCTTGATATATTTGGATTTCTTCTCTTTTATACTTTCTGTTTATTCTACTTTTGTTTCTTTCTCTTGTTTTATTTATTTTTTTGAGATGGAGTCTTGGTCTGTCACTCAGGCTGGAGTGCAGTGGCGCAATCTTGGCTCACTGCAACCTCTGGCCTCCTGGCTTCAAGTGATTCTCCCACCTAAGCCTCCGAGTAGCTGGGATTACAGGTGCATGCCACCACGCCTGGCTAATATTTTGTATTTTTAGTAGAGATGGGGTTTCACCACGTTGGCCAGGCTGGTCTTGAACTCCTAATATCAAATGATCCACCTGCCTCAGCCTCCCAAAGTGCTAGGATTACAGGCGTGAGCCACTGCACCTGGCTCTTTTTCTTTTAGGTTGATATTTTTTTTCTCATCCTATTCCTTCCTCTGCTAGTTTGTTATATACCCTATTTCTCTCTTTTAGCAGTAATCCTAGAAATTGTAGCATGCATACTTTATTTATAAAAGTCTAAATTCAGTCAGTATCTTTTCTTCCTCCTAAACAATAGCTCAGAATGTTTTAACTCCCGTTTTCCTCTCTTGTGCTGTATACTATTCTTGTTGTGTGTTTATTCTATTTTTAAAAATTATTAATCATAGATGATTTTTTAAAACTTATTTTTTTCAAGACAGGGTCACATTCCATAAGCCAGGCTGGAGTGCAGTGGTGCAGTCACAATGATTGCAGCCTCGACCTCCCTGGGCTCAGATGATCCTCCTACCTCAGCCTCCAGAGTAACTGGGACTACAGGCACACACCACCATGCCCAGCTAATTTTTGTATTTTTAGTAGAGACGGGGTTTCACCATGTTGGCCAGGCTGGTCTTGAACTCCTGGGCTCCAGCAATCTGCCCGCCTTGGCCTCCCAAAGTGCTGGGATTACAGGTGTGGGCCACTGCGCCCAGCCAATCACATATGATTTGGTTGTTTAATAGTGGTGTTTATCTACATTTATTCACATATTTGCCACATTAGTTGCTTACTACGTATTTTTGCATTTTAGACCTTCTACTTGGAATCACCTTCTTCAACTTGGATTCTTTAGACCTTCCTTAACTGAGAGTCTCTTCATGGCAAACTGTCTTGGATTTTGTCTAAAAATGTCTTTATTTTGCCCTTATTCTAAACTGTTACTAAACTATACATTTTGTTTTTTGTTAGTGTATCTGATTTGCTGGCTGTCATTCATTGTGCTTTATTTCTCTCTCTCTCTCTCTGTCTCTCTCTGTGTGTGTGTGTAAGGGAGAGAATTTGCTAATTAGTTGATTAATTTTCCACTGTGAGCTGTTCATTTTTCTTACAGCTTTGTTATGAGGATTCTTCCAGGTCTGAGTTACAGAAGGATTCTCCTAGAAAGTATTTAAGGTTGCTTCTGCTATGTGCCTGGGTTATTACCAACTGTGACTCTTCACATTAAATTTTTGGCTTCAGGGTTTTGGGACTCTAAGAGCTGTATGAACTCGCACTGCAAACTCATATGAGTTTTCACTTATTATAGTAAATTCTCAGGTTTGATTTTTTTCTTCTTCCATCCATGGCCAAGATTTGAGACAGGCAAGTTTCCTTGCACTCCAGGAATGTAGCTTGACTTACTGTTCCTGGTGTTGGTGGTGGTGCTGCTGGAGATGAGATCCTTTTAGCCATCCTATCTTTGGCAGGCCCTGGGCTTTGTTTCACCCTGAACTCTGAACCCTGAATCCTGTGGGCAGGGCTTCTGCTAGCCCATGTGGCTCCACTCTAAATTGATGCAGGCACTCAGCTTGTTAAAGGGAGCACTGGATGGATTTCAGCAAGCTTCCTGTTCCTTATGGTTCTGTCTGGTAGGCCTTAAACCTAGGCTCAAGTACTCTGGAGTTAAACAAGTGGCCCAAGGCAAAAGCCAGCTTCAGTGCTTAACTTACTTCGCAGGGATTGTATGTATGTATGCATGTGTATGAATATATGTTATGTATACATATGTATGTTTTGTGCGTGTGTATTTCACCGTTGAGTGTTAATTACTCCCTTGTTACAACTCATTGATGCATTTAAATAAAACATTTAAAATATTTTATTCATCTCCTCTCATGGTTTTCAGCAAAAATGTAGGTCAGGGTAAATTACCAGATATATTGGACCAGCTGGATGTAGTCGCCTTTGATTTTTTTTTAGTTCTACCACCTATGTATGTATCAATAAACAATGTATTCTTTAGTGCTTCCTTATTTTTAAACATTATGTGAATTGAATAACTTATGTAATCTTTTGCAATTTGGTTTCCCGCAACATTTCTATATGGAGTATGGTTCGTTCATATTTACTTTATACCAATATATGAATTTCTTTAGCTATTCAACACAATTTAACTATTCAGATTCCACTGTTGATGGACTTTTGGATTCTTTCCAATTTTTGCTATTGGAGTTTTCCAGTTTTGCTGCTAAGAACACTCTCGTACATGTCTTCTGGTGCATTGTCCAGGATTTTCTCTAGAATATATTCCTGGGGGTAGAATTGATGATTCATTGAGTAAGCATGTGTTGTACCTTACTAGGTAATTACAAATGGCTTTCCAAAGTAGTTGTAACAAATTATGCTTCCATTAGCGGTACACAAGAGTTTCTGTGGCTCCATGTCCTTACCAATTCTTAGTATTGTCAGGTTTCTTAATTCTTGCCTATTAGGTGGGTGGACTTAATACTTCTTAGTTTAGTTGTTATAACTTGTTTTTTAAAATTAACATATCTATGTGCATATTCGTAGTCATACATGTTTGTCTGGTCATTTAGGTACTTATGCAATACTCTAGTAGACTCAGAATAGAAATTAGCCATGGCAACATATATATTACATTCTTCATATTGCTACATTTGAAAATAATCATAATTATTTGCAGAAATATGAACAGAACATATAGAATTAAATGTTTTCACGATGTCTTGTATTATCTTTCATGTTTCATAGCAATCTCTGTGTTATAGGCCACATCAACTGCTTTTGCATTGTTCTGACTTACAGGAATTGCAGATTTATTGTTCTCAGTGCCATATTTAAGTTCCTTCTCTGTAACAATCAGGTGTAATACTTGTAAATTTTTTTAACCTTAGTACAAATTTAAAAAGCAGAAATTTCTCTTGCAGCTTCCTGTGTTTCAGGCCCAGTGCTAAGCACATGGCAAGCATTGTCCCATTTAGTTCTCTCCACCATGCTTCGGGCAGGTGCTGTTGTTAAGCCCCTTTCATGGAGGAGTGAACTAAAGCATGGAGAGGTTAAGGGTCTTGATCAAGGTCCCACAATCTTATTCTCAATGGACCTTCTCCTTCTCTAATCTAAAACCCTCATTTTATTTTGGGAAGTGGATGTAGGTCTAGGAAGCTTGTTTGTGTGTGTGTAGTTTGTTTGTTTTTTTTTTTTTTGAGATGGAGTCTCGCTCTGTCGCCAGGCTGGAGTGCGGTGGCGCAATCTCGGCTCACTGCAACCTCTGCCTCTTGGGTTCAAGCAATTCTCCTGCCTCAGCCTTCTGAGTGCTGGGACTACAGGTGTGTGCCACCATGCCCGGCTAATTTTTTGTATTTTTAGTACAGACGGGGTATCACCGTGTTAGCCAGGATGGTGTCGATCTCCTGACCTCAGGTGATCCACCTGCCCCGGCCTCCCAAAGTGCTGGGATTACAGGTGTGAGCCACTGTTCTTGGCTGTTTGTGTTTTATATTAGGAGGCAGAGAGCACTTAGGGGAAGCAGAAGCTCTGGTCTGAGGAGGCAGTGGTTTACTTATTAGTTCACAGGCCTTTTAGGTAATCACTGGTCCTTCACTTAATTAAGCAACTTAATATATGTCTTACGGATTAAGTTAATTTTAAATCAATGCTAATTTTTATGTCAAAATATATTAAGCAGCATCACATTAAAGTCAAAGGTAGTCTTGTAATTATTAGAGCAATAGGTATCGTGCTGTCGTTCTCCAATGTGGCTGCACATTGGACAACCTGAGGAGCTTTAAAAAATACTGCTGCCTGGGGATCACTCCCATAAGCTCTGATTTATCTCGTCTGGGGCACCAGGAGTTTTAAAATTTCTCCAGGTGATCTAATGTGTAGCCAAGCTTGAAGATTACTCGATAGTCATTGATTATGTGCGTGCCACATTCAGATTGGTGGGGTTCAAATCCTCCTTCTGCCACTCACTAGATGTGTGGCCTTAGTTAAGTTTTGTTAACGTTTCTTTATGTCTTCATCTGTAAAATGGGGATGAATGATAAAAATACTGTCTGCATCTCAGAGCATTGTTATGAGGATTAAAGGGGTACAGTAAGTCCTTATTTAACGTTGTCTATAGGTTATTGGAAACTGCAACTTTTAAGTGAAACGATGTATAACAAAACCGGTATTACCATAGATTAATTGACATAAATGAGAGTTAAGTTCCTGCAGCATATTTTTGGTCCTAAAAGTATTATCAGACTTCTACATAAAGACCAAAACATTTCTAATATTAAACACTGAGAGAAATCTAGGTTATACATACATTTAAGAAAGATTAATTCAATCATTTACTCAATTATTCGACTCCAGAATAGTGGGTGGTCCGAGCCTGTCCTGGCAGCTCAGGGTGCAAGGTGGGACCAGCCAAGGACAGGACACCATCCCATCACAGGGCACACTCACGCTCATCCACACTCACACTGGGACCACTTAGACATGCCAGTTCACCTAATGGGCACAGCTTTGGGAAGTGGAGAATGTGAAGAAAATCCATGCAGATGTGGTGAGAACATGCAACCTCCACACAGACAATGGCCTTGGCTGGAATAAATTTTTTTTTCTCACAAATTTTATAATGAAACAATGTTACTGTAGGACCTGCTGTATAATATATACATATTAATAAAATGCTTGGAATAGTGACTGGCACAAAATAGTCCTTTACTGTGAGCTATTTTAAGTAGACTAAGAAAAAATTATTACTATTATTGGATATTCTCTCAAAAGTATCTTGGGGGCTAAGATTTTAAATTAAATCAAATTTTGCCTAGTACTAAGCCCACTTTGGTGTTTTCTTGGCTTTGTTTAATTTTTTTCTCCATGGTTTTATTTAAAAGTTATTTCTAATCACCCTGTCAACTTAGCAGATATCTGTTGGAATCATTTAAGGTGTTTGTTTCCAAAAGACTGCAGAAATTAAATCAAGATATTTGCAGAGGAATGACTGACAGCTTGCAGGTAGACTGGAGAAAGTGCTTCCTACCATAACAGACAGAAAAAATGGTAGTACAAGAGTCAGCATTTCTTATTTATTTTTCTATGAGGCAGGGTCTCGCTCTGCCGCTCAGACTGGAATGCAGTGGTGTGATCATAGCGCACTGCAGCCTCAAACTTCTAGACTCAAGGGATCTCCTGCCTCAGCTTCCTGAGTAGCTGGGACTATAGGTGCTTGCCACCATACCTAGCTGATTTTTTGTAGGGGTGGGTAGAGACAGGGTCTAGCTCTGTTGCTCAGGCTGGTCTTGAACTCCTGGCCTCAAGCAATTCTCTTGCCTTGACCTCCCAAAATGTTGGGATTACAGACATGAGCCACCATGCCTGGCCAATTGAGCATTTCTTTAAACTGGAAACTAGCACCTTTATAATAATTTCACACATACCATTATTGTTGAAAATAGTCAGATTTTCAGAGGAAATCTCTATTAACCTAAGTTGTATAACCTTTTGAGGTTGTACCAGTGTAGAGCCTGTTTTTCCGAGCATCTACATGCTCAATGCTATTTTTTCAGTTATCCAGCATCCCCCCACTTGTTTCTATCCTATCTCATATGCAAGAGGGTGTAAATGTTTTTGTGCATTGCTTTTACATTTTTATTTATCTCTCAAGTGGGCAAGTAAGACAGTCATCAACAGAGGTTGCATTTGGAGATCATATTCTGTTTTTTCTTTAAACTATTTGATCATTTCAGAGAAACTTTATTCTCAGTTCTGTTTTGTCTTCAGCTGTCAATATCCCTGACTCCAGGCCCTTTATTTAGCTTCCATTCTTACTGATGTGGAAACATACTTTTAAATGAACTGCCTTTAAAAAGAAATATTTTAGTAAAGTGAAGGATCTTTTTGTAATGCAAATAATGTTTTGTTCAGGATTTTCTTGAGAAATCTGCCATGTTCTCTAAGCCTTTGCCTCCATACTGGATGTGGCTTTGCCTTTTTTGTTGTGTTGAAGGGCATGCACAGATATAGTTTCTGATTATTTTTCTCAGTCTGATTTCTCCAATTAGGCATATTATCATTAGAAAACTCGCCCATTTTCCCATGGTGTTTAAAAGTAAACCAGGACTTGTGACACTATGCTACTCGGCATTTATGAAATGTAATTTAATTACTTTGTTTCCATTGTGAAGACTCGGTTTCCTTATTTCCTATATTCATTTATTTATTCATTATTGGTATACCCAACAAGATAAGTAAATACGATACAGCCTTGCATTTGACAATTTTATGGTGTGTATGTATTTATCATGCCTGAACTGTGACTAGACTTAAGATGAAGATGGTACCTAAATCAAGCTCTTTTATATTTTGTCTTTCCCATAATCTAGTCTGTCTTTTCTTTCCCACAAAATAGAATGGGATACTTTTTATTATAAATATATGACATGTTCACTATAAAAGAGAGGCAGTAAAGGACCAGAGAAAATGACCTGTGATGCCACCACCTAGAAGTAATCACTCTTGTTAACATCTTGTTATTTACTTGTACAGTTTTTTTCTGTGTTCATAGGCTGACATTTTTCCTTGCAGATGTTCTCTCTCTATATTCATACAAAGCTGCAGTTGTTCAAGTCCCACCCCAGCCTCTGGAGGTCCAGGATGAATGCCTCCCTCTTTCTGTCCTGGTACCTTACGTGACCTCCGGACGGCAGTGTCAGTGTTGGAAATGGCAGGCTGCTGCAAATATGCTAAAACCTCATCAGTTGTCTCTATTCGTCTGACCAAAGTCCGTGGGAAGAGCAAGATGCTGGTGATATCCTGGAGCTCTTCTGACACAAGGCTCTGGCTAGCCTTGATACATTCCTCAAATTCTTCCTTCCAATTCTGAAACCTTTTGTTTTCCAGACAATAAAACCCTCCCAAACTCCTACCTAGACATTCTCTCTAAGCAGTCCTGGGAGACCACATGTGACTTGACTTTTAACTATCTTTACAGCGTTTACATTTTGCTCCTTCTTTTTGTCATGCCATTACTAGAGGGAGGATGGGCCATCCAGAGCAGCGTGCGCCCTCCACAGGCACCTTAGCCTGTTCTTCACTCCGCCATGATTGAAAGAGGAGAAAATATTCTATAGCTGTTCCTTTTCTGTTCTTGGCTTTTTCACTCTTACTGACCTTACAAGTTTTATTTTTCCATTTCTGAATCTCAATTATTTTCATTTCTCCTATTCAGTATAGTTTTTAATAGATAGCATTGCATTACATGGATGTCCCTTATTTAATCAACTGTTTGGTATTTCTTTTCTGTTTTTCAAAATCTAATGAACACTCCAGTGAATATCCTTTTGTTCGGGATTTATCTCTAGAAGGAAGATTACTGGCTAAAAATATATGTACATTTAACATTCATATACATATCTATACACACTTTTTTTTGAGACAGCGTTTCACTCTGTCACCCAGACTGAAATGCAGTGGCATGATCATTGTTCACTGCAGCCTCTACCTCCTGGGCTCAAGCAATCCTCCCACCTAAACCTCCTGAGTAGCTGGGACTATAGACACGTGCCATCATGCCAGCTGAGTTTAAAATCTCGTTTTGTAGAGACATGGTCTTACTATGTTGCCCAGGCTGGTTTCAGACTCCTTGGGCTCAAGTAATCCTCCCACCTCAGCCTCCCAAAGTATTGGGATTATAGGTGTGAACCACTGGGCCTGGCCTATGTATACATAATTAGGCTATACTGTCTATAAAATTTGGCTATCTATAGTCAAATTATTTTATATGCATATATCCAAATATACCTATAAATAGCCAAATTATACATATACAGCCAAATTTTATATATATATATATATAAATGTTATATATATATAGCCAAATTATATAAAGCTGTATATATAGTCACATTATCCTACAGGAAATGATGTAAATGTACCAATTTACATTCCTGTAACAGGGCATTAGAATTCCCTTTTTCCAGAGCCTTGCCAACACTGGTTATTTATAACCCTTTCAAACTTTGTATGAAAGTTGTATGTATTTTAAGATAAATGAAAACTTATATTGATTTGTAATTATTTATTGGTATAATTGAACACCTTTCCATATCTTTATTGTACTAATGTGTATGAATTCCATCTTAATAGTTTTGCTAACTTGTCCATTGAGGGGTTTCCTACTGATTTGTAATGGCTCTCTATATAAAAAGGATGTTAATTTTTGCCTATTTTACAGTAATAGTACAAATATTCTCTCATGTTTTCTATTAGTCTTTTAACCTTTGTTTAGTTTTTTTTCGTTCCTTCATAAATGCTAAATTTTATGTCATCATATCTTTCAGTCCTTTTCTATATTATTTCTGGCTTTGATGGCATGCATTGAAAGCCCTTTTCCACCCCAGAGTTATCAACTCGTTGGAAAATGATGTTGAAATGTCACTTTTAATATTTACTAAACACTCTTGCCTAATTTGTTCTATTTTGAAGCCCTTTAATTCTGTTTCTTTAATCTGCCTGTCTTTTTTTTGTGCCTGTTCCTTACTGTCTTGACTACTGCAGGCAACATACTTACATCTAAAGAACAAGCACACCTATTCTGCCCTTTTGCTAAACAAATTTTCAGCCTCTTTTTCAATGATTATTTTTTCAAATCAATGTTAAACATCACGTAAAGTTTCAAGAAAACCCCTAGGGGTATTAGTATTTAGAGTGCATTAAATTTTTAGCTAATTCATGGGAGAATTTGAAGTATTATATCTTCTAATTTAAGTTAGAGTACAGGAATTGTCTGTCTTTATCCCTCTAAGTACATTCAGATTCTCAAGAATAGTACCAAAATTCTCAGATCCCCCTCTACCAGTATTTTTCTCCCACTGATGGCTCTTCAACCCTAAAATGTCTTAGTGGTATGGTTTGGATCTCTGTCCCCACCAAATCTCATGTCCGATCGTGGTCCCCACTGCTGGCAGTAGGGCCTGGTGGGAGGTGATTAGATCATGGGGAGGCTTCTTATGAATGGCTTAGCACCCTCCACTTTGTGCTGTTCTTATGATAGTGAGTTCTCATGGGATCTGGTTGTTAAAAAGTGTGTGGCACCTCCCCAAACCCCTTGCTCTTGCACCGGCCATGTAAGGTGAGGATGCTTCCCCTTTGTCTTTTGCCATAATTCTAAGTTTCCTGAGGCCTCTCCAGAAGCAGAAGCCACCATACTTCCTGTACAGCCTGCAGAACCATGAGTCAATTAAATCTTCCTTTATAAATTACCCAGTCTCAGGTATTTCTTTTCTTTTATTCTTTTCTTTCTTTCTTTTTTTTTTAAGAGATGGAGTCTTGCTCTGTCGTCCAGGCTAGAGTGCAGTGGCGCCATCTCAGCTCACTGCAACCTCCGCCTCCCAGGTTCAAGTGATTCTCCCGCCTCAGCTTCCCAAGTAGCTGGGATTACAGGCGCCCGTCACCACGCCTAGCTAATTTTTGTATTTTTTTAGTAGAGACGGGGTTTCACTATACGTTAGCCAGGCTGGTCTCGAATTCCTGACCTCAGGTGATCCACCTGCCTTGGCCTCCCAAAGTGCTGGGATTACAGGCGTGAGCCACTGCGCCCGGCCAGGTATTTCTTTATAGCAGTGTGAGAATAGCCTAATACACCTAGCCTGATGTTACACTTAGGATCCTCTTCATTATTCTTCTGAATCCAAGCCTCCAACTTTATCTACCCATCACGGTTTTAGCTTATATTTTGATTTTATTTCTTACATCTTCCCTTATATTTATTATTTTAATATTTTGTTTCTCTTTTCTCCTTCTATACTTGTACTAGATTTATCAGAATCTGTAAATCTCTTTTAACCCTATTAATTTGTTAACTCAGTTAAATATATCTATTTTGCCAATGCTCATCTTCCTATTTTTAACAGTCATATATCAAACTGTATTTCTCAACTGATGTACCAAAATTAAAGGACACCTAGATGCCCTCCCTCAGCTAAAGTGTTTACTACTGCATCCAAACCCATGAATTCTCCCTAACTGAGAGAGGATATTTAGAGGGCCTTTGTGCCTTTTTTTTTTCCCCCTATTTCTTCCTTGAAAATTCTGGAGCTTTTTGAAATAATTTAGAATTTTACTTTTAAGATATTATTAAATTTTTTTCTACAGCATGCCTCTGTTTAAAGAATCAAAGCTTTTTAAACATATCACTAGTCACATATATTATCTGTGTAGACTTAGCTATATTATCATATATTTATTTTTATAAAGATATTGCTCAGCACTATTCTTTTACAGTTTTATTTATCTTAACTGACAAATGAAAATTGTATATATTTATGTATACAACATGATGCTTTGATATATGTAGGCATTGTGCACTGGCTAAGGTAAGCTAATTAACACATGCCTCACCTCACAGACTTATCATTTTTTTGTGAGAACACCTAGTGAGAACACCTAGAAGTCACCCACCCAGCAACTTTCAAATACATTGTTATTAACTGTAGTCACCATGGTGTATAACGGATCTTTTAACTCATTCTTCATACCTCACTGAAATTTTTTGTCCTTTACCCAACATCTCCTCAGTCCCCTTACCTCCTCTAGACTCTGGTAACCACTGTTTGAACTCTGTTCCTATGAGTTCAACTTTTTTTATTCTACATGAGTGAGATCATGTGATATTTATCTTTCTATGCCTGGTTCCTTTTTCACTTAACATTAATGTCCTCCAGGTTGACCATGTTGTCATAAATGACAGATATCCTTCTTTTTTAAGGCTGAGTAGTATTCTGTTGTATACACATACCACATTTCCTTTACCCATTTGTTTGTTTTTGAACACTTAGGTGGATCCCATACTTTGATTATTGTGACTAATGCTACAATGAACACGGGAGTGCAGGCAACTCTTCAGCACACTGATTTCAATTCCTTTGGGTATATACTCAGGGATTGGATTGCTGTATCATATGGTGGTTCTGTTTCTCATTTTTTGAAGGACCTTCAGACCATTTCCATAATAGCTGTACTAATGTGCATTTACATGAGCAGTGTACAAAGATTCCCTTTTCTCTATATCCTAGCCACACATTATCTTTCGTCTTTTTGATAACAGCCATTCGAACAGGTGTGAAGTGATATCTCATTGTGGTCTTAATTTGCATTTTCCTGATTAGTGTTGTTATTTTTTTTTCATATACCTGTTGGCCATTCATATGTCTTCTTTTGAGAAATGTCTATTGAGGTCCTTTGCCCATTTTAAAAATTGTTATTTACTTTCTTGCTATTAAGTTGTTCGCATTCCTTATACATTTTGGGTATTAATCCCTATCAGATTATGATTTGCAAATATATTCTCCCATTCTATAGATTGTCTACTTTGTTGTTTCCTTTGCTGTGCAGAAGCTTTTTAGTTTGATGTAATCCCACTTATCTATTTTTTGCTTTTGTTGCCTGTGCTTTTAGAACCTGATCAAAAAATTATTGCCCAGACTAGTGTCTTGGAGCTTTTCCCCTGTGTTTTCTTCTAGTAATTTTACAGTTTCGAATCTTAGGTTTAAGTCTTTAATCCACTTTGAGTTAGTTCTTGTATATGGTATGAGATGAGGGTCCAATTCATTTTTCTGTATGTGGATATCCAGTTTTCCCAACACCATTTATTTAAGAGACAGTCTTTTCCCCATGTGTGTTCTTGGTACCTTTGTAAAAAAATCTATTGACCATTGACTATGTGGATTTATTTCTGGGCTTTCTACCTTGTTCCATTGGCCTAAGTGTCTGTTTTTATGGCAGTACCATGCATTTTGATTACTGTAGCTTTGTAGTAGTTTTTGAAATCAGGTAGTGTGATGTCTCCACCTTTGTTCTTTTTGCTCAAGATTGCTTGGCTCTTTGGGGTCTTTTGTGGTTCCATATGAATTTTAGGATTGCTTTTTCTATTTCTGTGAAAATATCATTGGAATTTTGATAAAGACTTTGAATCTGTAGATTGCTTTAGGTAGTATGGACATTTTACCAATGTTAATTATTCCAGTCCATGAGTACAGGATATCTTTCCATACATGTGTGTCTTCAAGTTCATTCATCACTGTCATATAGTTTTCAGTGTACAGATTTTTCAATTCCTGGTTAAATTTACCCCTAAGTACTTTATTTATTTATTTTTTTGCTATTGCGAATGGGATTGTTTTATTAATTTCTTTTTCAGATAGTTTGTTGTATGTGGAAATGCTGCATCAGCACTAATTCTTACATATTTTATCTTCTTGAGATCTTTTCTGTTTACTTTTTATTTGATTGAGATGCTTTCTTAGATACCAGTATTGGTATACTTTCTTGAGTTTGTTTCTAAATTATCTTTTCCTCCTCAAATATGTATTTCTGCTGTTCTGGTCTTGGATTGCAGTTCTCTTTATTCAGATGTGTGTGAACACTGTTCTATTGTTATCTGTGGTCAAGCATTGCAGACGAGAAGTCTGATGGTAGACTAATTATTTTCCCTTTTTAACTTACTTCTCTTGTCTGAATGGAAGGCTGTAGAATTTTTCTCTTTGTCTTTGAAGAAATTTCTCTAGAATATGTCCAGATGTCTTTTTTATTTAGCCTGACTAGAATGTCTGAGCCTTTTTATGCTAAAAATGCAAGTCTATCTTCAACTCAGCAAAAACTTCAAACTGAAAACCGAAGTTTTAAAACCAGTGAAGCTTTCTTCCACTTTTAAATATTATTACCACACCTACTTCTTCTCGTAATTTTTTACTTTTTTTTTCCTAAAAAATGTAGAAAGTACAGAAAATAATGCGGAAAGTTCTCATTTAGCCCAAGCAGAGAGTTAAAAAGATAATCTTTTGTCATATTTGTTTTAGATCTTTTTTTAACAGTATGGTTATATTTTAAAATGCCTAGAAGACTGGAGTTAAAGTCATTCAGTTATTTCTTAATAGTACTTAGAGAGTTGCTCATGAATTGGAGGATAATGAAATATGAGACATGCCAGAGCAGGAGAAGGAAATTCTAGGGGCTATTTGGGGTCTTTTGTGGTTCCATATGAATTTTAGGATTTAAAAAAAAATTTCTGTGAAGCATGTCATTGGTATTGTGATAAAGATTAATTGCATCTTTAGATCCCTTTGGGTAGTATGGACATTTTGACAATATTCTTCTAATTTGTGAATATGGGATATCTTTTCATTTCTTGTATCTTCAATTAATTTCATCCATGTTTTATAGTTTTCATTGTAGAGTTCTTTTACCTCTTTGGTTATATTCATTCTTAGGTATTTTTTATTTGTAGCTATTGAAAAAAGATTGCTTTCTTGATTTCTTTTTCAGGTAATTCATTACTGGTGTATAGAAACACCTCTGAGTTTTGTATGTTGATTTTGTATCCTGCAACTTTACTGAATTTGTTTATTAAACTATTAGATGATAGTTTAATGATAAATGTTTAAGGTGGCAGATATACTAATTACCCTAATTTGATAATTACACAATTTATAAAAGTATTGAATCATCATGTTGTACCCCATACATATATATAGTTAGTTATTATATGTCAATTATAAATAAAAAATTATATACTACGTTGGTTTTCAAAATTAAAGTAATAATTAAAATTCGCAAATGATGGGAAAAAAACCGGAAGTTCTTGGGGGAAATAAGCATATTTCACAGTGTCATGGAAATTGAGTCCTGAATGTCAATATTGTTTCATAAATACTTGTAACATACAATGCAATAGGGATACTACATCAGGATGCTTTTGGCTCCAAGTTACAAAAAACCCCAACTCAAATTGGCTTAAAGAGGGAAGACATTTGCTCATCTCACACAAAAGGCTACTCAGCTTTGCCTCAATCCAAGCCATCATGTAATCACATGGTGGGTATAGAAATTTGAGGTGTACTTACACCTGTGTACATACCTCTAGATGTACCAGTGTCCTCAAGAATAAGAAATGCCATTTGCCTTTTGTGTTTCTTATTTAGAAGTGAGAAAGTCTTTTCCAGAATCTCCCTAGAAAACTTGCCTATAAGGTCTCAGCCACAATTCACTCATACGCTCATTCTTGTACCAACTGGTGGAAAGAAAGAATAGAATTCACGGGAATTCTATTGAATCTGACACAGATTGATCTGACATAGATCAACGGTTCCCAACCAGGTGGAGTTTTACCTCCAGAAGACATTTAGCCAAGTCTGGAAACATCTTTGTGCTCGCTGGGGTCCCCTACTACTGGTATCTAGTGGGTAGAGGCCACAGACACTGCTAAGCCTTCTACAGTGCATGGGATGCTTCCCACAATACAGAATGATCTGATTCAAATGTTAATAGTGTCAAGGTTGAGAAGCCTTAACATAGACCAGTTAGGATCTCACCCTTCAGGGCCAAGGAAAGGGCTGTTTTTCACTGAAGCACAGGGCTAAGGAGGGGCTATGTGGATGTTGTGTAGCCCACTGGGAATGCCCACTGCCATGACGTCCCTCGGATGGAGCTGGTCTTCTGAGCTGCTCAGAAAGGGAAGCTCGGATTTGTGGGTTTTAGGCTACTAAAAATTAACCAACCACATTGAATTTCATGTTTTTCTAATTCATTCCTAGTCTTCTTGCCTGTTAAACTTTCTGCTAAAGATAATTCTAATGAATTTGAGAAGGTATTTATAAAAGAATATCTGTGAGGCTGTGTGTTGCTTGACTGGCAGCCAAAAGAAATGTTGCTTGGGGAAAATGGCACGAATTAAACATTGATTGCCCATCAGTCTTGTACTTGGGGTCTGGGGTAGTCTGGAATACAGGTAGGGAGATCATTCAAGCTTCACAGAGAGGTTCACTAGTACTTATAAATCCAAGCATTGGGAGTTGAGAATTGCCAGAAATAGTCATGTAATGATATTCCATGTTGTATAGGTGTTTGCATTTCTTCCTTTCTAAAAACACAGTGGTTTTGGAAATAATAATATCCTAGAACAGTGGTCCTCAGCTTTTTTTGGCACTAAGGACAAGTTTTGTGGAAGACAATTTTTCCCTGGATCTTGAGGGGAGGGGAGGATGGTTTCAGGATGAAACTGTTCCCCTCGGATCATCAGGCATTAGATTCTCATAAGGAGTGGGCAACCTAGATCCCTTGCATGTGCAGTTCACAATATGGTTTGCGTTTCTATGAGAATCCAATGCCCCCACTGATCTGACAGGAGGTGAGGCTCAGGTGGTAATGCTCACTCACCCACCGCCCACCTCCTGCTATGCAGCCCAGTTCCTAACAGGCCACAGACTGGTAGCAGTACATGACCTGGAGGTTTGGGACACCTGTCCTAGAACATCCTGGATTAAGCAATTAAGGATCTCTGCAAATCCTAGCTCCATTGCTCAACTTTGAAAAGTTGTTGGACTGTTTTCAGCTTTGGGTACCTCATTTGTAAAATAAAGAAATTGAATTACAGGCACTTACAGGTCCTGCAATTCCCCGTAACTCAGATAAAAAATAGATCCCTTTCTCCCTTCAGGAGAACTCATGACTTTGGTAGCAGCTAGAGTTAGCATTTGCTCATGCTTTTATTGTGTTTAGCAATCAATGGGAAGTGCATCAGGTGAAATCTCTCAGGCCTGCATATGTCTGGTCAAAGCTCATTCATTGATTTTTTTTTTTTCCTGCTGAAACTTGCACATATATAAAAAACGAAGACACTAAATTTAATTTTCACCAGCTCAGTGTATAGTATTGTGGCTGCTCATGTTCCTGAAGAGCGAGTTGTTCTCAAATAATAAACTAAGCTGTATAATCTTTAAAATATTTGACCAGGTGGGAAGCCTTTCTGTGAGGACAATGTGTTTGTGCGTTTGGTGCTTAAGCTTCAATCCCCTGGCCACAGCTTGGATTTATTTGCAGGGGAAATCTGCTACGTAAGAAGACAACCACTTTGGGCAACATTATCTTCATCATCAGCATGCACGTGTGGTAATGACCTGTTATGAGCCTGACTTGGAATAACTTTCTTCCTCACAGAATGGTGGATACTCCATATGTGTAGAATTACTGAGAGTAATTATCTTTGCAACAGTAAGGCGTGAGGGTAAGAAATCAATAAAGCAGAAGGGAAAGATATTAACATTTATCGACCACTTTCTGCATGACAGCAGAAGGCGGTCAATAAATGGCATACTTTATTTTAATCGTATTAGGTGATTATTGCAGTATTATCTTAATTTATGTGTGAAGAAATTGTGGTCCAGCGAGGTTAAGTCACTTGCTCAGTGTCCCTCAGTATTAAGTGATAAAGCAGAGGTATCAACCTAGGATACCCTACAAGGTTTGGCTTCCATCTGGAAGCACTGAGTACCTGGGCCCAGATATGAGACAGGGTCCCAGCCCAGAGATTTGTTGGTTTATCATTCCTTCAGCAAACACAGCTTACTTCCAAGAGTGTAGAAATTGGGGCTGTGCTTCATAGCAAGATAATAAGCATCAGAAGGGCTGGGTGTGGTGGCTTATGCCTGTAATCCCAGCACTTTGGGAGGCCAAGGCGGTTGGATCATTTGAGGTCAGGAGTTCAAGACCAGCCTGGCCAACATGGCGAAACCTCATCTCTACTAAAAATACAAAAATTAGCTGGGTGTGGTGGTGCACACTTGTAATCCCAGCTACTTAGGAGGCTGAGGCAGGAGAATCGCTTGAACCCAGGAGGCGGAGGCTGCAGTGAGCCCAGATTGCCCCACTGTACTCCAGCCAGGGAGACAGAGTGAGACACCATCTCAAAAAAAAAAAAAAAAAAAAAAAGCCATCAGAGGAGCTACAGTGATGCTGGTGAGGCAGACATTTCCTGACTCATAGCAGGTTACCTTTGTTTCCTCGTTATAATGAGAAAAAGTTGCCTTCCCTGGACTTCCTCCTATTCATCTTTTTTTTCCTGTCCTCTTCTTGCTTAGGATGCCAAGGCTGTGACATTTATTTCTGCTCTCTTCCCTTTGAGATATGCTGAAGTCATTTAAAAAAATGTCAGGAATAAAATGCACTAAATGATGACTGTCTTAGAAAAGACTCCAGTTAAGCTGTGTGCATCCAGAAATGCAACTGTGCTGACCAGTTTCTGCCTCCCTTGCCCTACTGATAACATGATGGGAGATGAAGTCGTTTTTCAAAAGTGTTCTGGGTCCAGAGACGTTTGCTCGACACCTGTGCCCTCCATTGGTCTAAAGGCATTAGAGTTTTTCTCCCACAATATTTGTCTTTGTTATTTTGAATTTATGACACCCTGGTTGTTGGTGTTTTTCTTTGCATTCATACCTGACTCTTGACCTCCAAAAGAACCAGTACATACATTTTACTTTAAGCTGGGCATTTTTGTAATACTATGCAACCTTGAAAATAATCGCAGTGATATTTTGCTTTTTTATAAGGCCTTCTATCCTTCTTTGCTCTTGCATCTCTCTTTCCCCTTTATGACAGTATAGCAGAACATATTTCATTCTTCCCTGAGCCCTCTGCAGAGCAATTTTGTAACTGATTTGAGCCATGTTTTTGATGGAGTATCTGCTCTCTGGACCTTTCCATCTCCTGGTTGCAACTGTGAACCACCCTGCCTCCAATAATCTACATCCAAAATGCTGAGCAGGAGATTTATGGAATTTGTTTGAAGATATTCCCTGAACTCTCTGAAGCTAACTAGTTCCTTTGCAAGTAAGTGGCTGGAAACCTAAAGATCTTGTGAACTGGGTTCTAGAAGCATGGGATAACAAATGTAAGATTTCAGACTGGAAGTTAAAAGCGAGTTTTCCTCTTGATTCAGTTTCTAACCAGTCAGCTAAATGGTCTCTGAATAGTTGTAGCTAATGAGCACCATCCCCCAAACAGTCAATTGTCTTGACTATTAAATACTTAAATCCATGTATTTTCGCTGGAGTGTTTATTACTATGTGTTCTTAGGACCATAATTATAAAATGTTAAGTTAGGACGACACAGAATATTTTTCTCTGAGTATTTTTGCCTCTTTCATCAGATAAGATGAAATTCATTTTTATTTTATTTTACATTATTATGATTATTATTTTGAGATGGAGTCTCACTCTGTTGCTCAAGCTGGAGTGCAGTGCCACGATCTTAGCTCACTGCAACTTCTGCCTCCTGGGTTCAAGTGATTCTCTTGCCTCAGCCTCCCAAGTAGCTAGGATTACAGGTGCATGCTACCATGCCCGGCTAATTTTTGTATTTTTAGTAGAGACAGGGTTTTGCCATATTGGCCAGGCTGGTTTTGAACTCCTTACCTCAAGTGATCTGCCCGCCTTGGCCTCCCAAAGTGCTGGAATTACAGGTATGAGCCACCGCACCTGGCCGAAATGCATATATATATATACTTTTTTAATGGAATGCAATGGAATATTGTGAAGTAGTAAAACATGAATAAACTATAGATACATACAACATGGGTCAGTCTTACTAATGACTGTGAGTGAAAAAGGAAGCTCCAGAGAAATACGCGTATTATAGCTTGGTTATAAAATTTGGAAACTTGCAAACTTCAACAATATACTTTTTTTTTTTTTAAGGAAGAAAACAGACAAAATTCAGAATAGTGGTTATAGTTGGGGTGAGGTGAGCCCATGAGTAAATACTGGTAATGTTGTAATTTTTGGACTAAATCATGGATTCGCAATTCTTCATTATATTATTAAAACTAAGTTTTAAAAGACCCACAAATGGGCCAGTGATGATAGTTTTTCCAGAATTGATAGCCATCAATTCTGATCATCCAGGATCCTTGGAAATAAATTGCATGGATGAGCTCATTCATCACAAATCTGGGGTCTTTAAAGTTTCTGCTGTTCCCAGTTCTTTGGATTCATAGCTATGATCCTTAGAGGGCAACAGATCTCTCCCTTCTCATGGCAGAAATAAAGGTCAGATGAGAATGGGAGAGCCATCAGATAGAGACCACTGTGGAGGAGTTTGCGCTTTGGGCTGAGCAAAGAGAAGACCAGAATCTTTTGGTACCATCTCCTTCTGCATTTGAGATGAAACTTAGTCTTTTAAAATACATGCAGCCCCAGTCCTCTGTGTTGCCAGTCACCTGAGCTACCTTTGGGGGTAGGGTTTTGATTAAATGGCACGCTTTGCTCATGAGTAACCTTCGGGGCACATTTTGTTGGTAAGAAATAAATGCATCACTCATTTGAATCAGAGCTGCAAGTGCCATCTGTGATGCACTCCTCCTTCCCATTATCACACAAATGTGTTTCTGTGTGACTGGTTCCTGGATTTTGCAGGCTCTCTTGCCTTGCGCCGATTGCTGGCTGAGAGGTCTCAGCTCAGCGTTCACCACGTATCACTATATTTCTATTAATACTTCTGCTCTTCTTGGCAAAACAGAAGTGGGGCTTCATTTGAAATGATGGGCTGGGGAGAGGGGAAGGGAACCATCTCACTCATAGTTATTGACATCAAGCTACCATCATCTCTTGTTCGGATAACTATGAGATTTTTCTGCTCCCTTTATGCCCCCGCCCCACCCCTTCCCAGCCACTTTCTGTCCTCTGCCAGAGTGATCTTGTGAAGGCTTCAATCAGACCAGATCATTCTCCTGCTTAAAAATCCCCCCGTCGTTTCCCGTTGCTCTTAGAACAACATCCACACTTTTTATCCTGCAGTAGGGGGCTCTCCATGCTCTAGCCCCTGCCTATGTTCCCCTCCTCATCATGCCTTTCTGCCCTTTGTTCACTATATTCTAGTCACCCTGGCCTTCTTTCTGCTCCTCAGTCACTCCAAGCTCATTCCCTCTGCAAGACCTTGGCATATGCCATTTCCCCTGTCAAGAACGTTCCTGCTCTAGGTCTTCGCAAAGCTTACATGTTCTCATTGTTCACCGAACAGTCTTCCCTGGCCACCCAATCTAAAGTAGTCCAGCCCCACCTCGAAGGACACTGTCTCATTGCACCTTTTATTATCATCACTGCATTTACCATTCTCTGAAATTATTCTATTCACTTGTGTGTTTATGGCTGTCCTGATTAGAATTAATTTTCATAAAGAGAACAAGAATCTTGACTGGTTCACCCTTCAATTCCTTGTGCCCACAACAGTGACTGGCACATGGAAAGCATTCAGGGAATAAAAGCACAATGGAAAATTAAAACATACTCACTGCATGCCTGCCACCTATAGAACCAAATTAAATCACTGCCAATATGCATGGGGAAAACCTTCCCATTTTTCTGGAATAATGTTACAAAGGATGGAAAATAAGTGCACATCACCTGGATGGCATTTAATAAACGCTGTGACCCAGTAGTGTACATTTCAGTGAATATTGCCAAAGGAAGTAGGCCAACATCAGGTAATCTGAGTTAACTTTCCTGTACATTGTGTATTCGTTTCCTGATGATCAAAACTGGATTAATTAGTCTACAATGTATCTTTCCTGTTAGATACGAAGATTATCTGCTCTATCCAATTTGTGTTTTCTTAGCTGAGAAATCACTGTTGAATTTTAAAAGCAGCTTGCCTGGTCCTCATTTCCTGGTCTTCTGATGGAAATGGTTTATGGAAAAAAAAATATTTACTAGAGTCAGATAATTAGAACATTTTATGTATTTTGCATATGCTAATGCGTTTGAGTTCCTTTGAGGGAGAGCCGCATGGCATAAAGCAGAATGAAAAGGATGATTCAAATTTCTTCACCCAGCCTCCTCCCCTGGCCAGATTTAGCACTTCCTATATACCACCACCTCACAGCTTAGCTTGGCTGGGAGCTCCTCAGGTTTCCAAAGGACGGTCCTTCCTTCTCCCTCCCCCAATTGCCATCCCTACACCAGGGTGCCAACTCCCAAGTGGGCTGACAGGAAGGGAGATTGGAAACAGCTTTATAGTAGATTTGATGCTGTTATAAGACACGTTGTAAGACATCAGGTAAATATAGCACATCAGATTTTATTAATCATAAGAATTCTTTAAAAGCCTTCAGCAGAGCCGAGATCATGCCACTGCACTCCAGCCCGGGTGACAGAGCAAGACTCCATCTCAAAAAAAAAAAAAAAAATAAAGCCTTCAACAGTGGCTAAACACAAAACCAGAATCCCTTTAGATTTCTTAAAATGCCTTTGTAGTTCTTTTGTAATATGGGTCCTTGTTGGACAAAGTTAGTAATTTGTTTTTTATATCCTTTACATTAGGGGTTTCTAACCCCCAGGCCATGGACCAGTACCGGTCCCTGGCCTGTTAGAAGCCGAGTGGCACAGCCGGAGGTGAGCAGCAGTTGAGCGAGCGTTACTGCCTGAGCTCCGTCCACCTCCTGTCAGATCAGCAGCAGCATTGGAGTCTCACAGGAGCGTGAACCCTATTGTGAACTGCACATGCGAGGGATCTAGGTTACCTGCTCCTTATGAGAATCTAATGCCTGGTGGTCTGTCCCTGTCTCCCATCACCCCCAGAAATAAAGTTTCTATGATTACAATAAATGTAACACACTTGAATTATTCATCCCAAAATGGTCTCTCCCGACTCCCCACTATCCATGGACAAATCGTATTCCATAAAACCAGTCCCTGGTGCCAAAAAGGTTGGAGACTGCTTCTTTTAATGATCATGTTCACATACGGACAGTGAAAAGGTGGGTCTTCTTAGAGGTTAAAGGGAAAGTAGGACAGTTGCCACAAAGCTCCCTTTTTGGAGAGTGCCCAGCCAGGGAGTGTTACTAGGGCCCACCTTGGCCTTGCTGATGTCTTCAGTGGTGTCCTTGAAGTCAGCATGGGATTGGCGCAGGCTCCTGTTGGGGCACTCGGTGAAGGTCCTCCCTCCTCCCCAGTAGCTCTCATTTCCAGGGCCCTTATTTTCTTTTGGCCATCTGGGACTGAAGTCTTGCTCCTGGTGGGCTATCTCTGTTGCCCTATCACCTTTAGTGATTTCCACTAAATAACCCTCTTTTAAGCATTTAGGGGAAGAGGGAGTAGCATGAACGTTTATTGTGCAGTGGGGTGAGAAAGTCAGTACCAGTTTCAACACGCCCTCCAGCTGCCTTCCTCCAGGGAGGGGACTTCACACTGGCTGTCTCCACAGATCTGCAGTGCCCTTGCCATAGCTCCAACTCCTGGCCTTCTCCCACTCCCCGCTGCCTGCTGGCACATAGAGCCCTTGGGCCATTCTCTGTGTGGTATTGGCCCCTGCCTTTGCTTATGCTCTCTGCTGTAAGCAGCTAGGCTTAGACTTCCCTAAGAGGAGTCCCGGACACCACTGAGGATGCATTTTCCCTTCCTCACGTGAAGAGAGCATTAGGTGCCCTTAGCTTTGGAGGGAGTGGAGCTTTGGAGCCTGGAGACAGGGGACCAGGACCAGATTACCCAGCCTCCCTAGATTCTGCTGAACTCATCTTTCAGTAAAGAGGCCAGATGAGCTGAGCTCCACTTCTCTCTGGCTCCATGTTCCTGTGACTTTTGACTCATCTGAGGTTGACTTTGAGAAGGCAATCCCTTTTAAATATATTGGAATCCATGTAGTATGACCCTATCCACTGTGGAATCTTACTCCATTTTACTTTAAAGAGAATGTAAATGGTTTGGCTGCACATCACTATGAAAATGGCCTAAGTAAGCAGAACGGAGAAGCTGCCAGGAGAGCAGAGGTGGAGAGTGGAAGGGGCCAAGCCGGTTCTAAATCGTTTTCTGCAGGCTCCTGTCCTCAGATGTACTCACTTCATGGGAACCAAATCACATTTAACTGCTCTCCAGCTCTTAAAACAGGATAACTTGAGCCATCTGATATTTGAGAAGAATACAGCAACCCAGAAGATGTATTAATACTCTATTCTCTAATTTTCCAGAATAAGTCAGATCATTGACAAATGACATACTTGGGCTGTATTACCTTCCTACAGAAAGACTTTCACTAGGTTTAGTAATTAGCTATAGCTTCAGCCTTTTGTTTTGTTTTGTTTTGTTTTGTTTTGTTTTGTTTTTGAGACAGTCTCTCTCTCTCTGCTGCCCAGGCTGGAGTGTGAAGGTGCCATCTCGGCTCACTGTAACCTCCGCCTCCTGAATTCAATCAATTCTCCTGCCTCAGCCTCCCAGGTAGCTGGGATTACAGGTGCACGCCACCACACCCAGCTAAGTTTTGTATTTTTAGTAGGTATGGGGTTTCACCATGTTGGCCAGTCTGGTCTCAACTCCTGACCTCAAGTGATCCACCCACTTCGGCCTCCCAAAGTGAGCTTATGTCTTTTTGAAGGATGGCTATGGGAAAAGTCCACTTGAAGGATGTTTTGTCATTTATTTACTTACTGATTAATTAAGATGGGAAAGTCTTGCTATGTTGCCCAGGCTGGTCTCTCGCTCTGTCATCCAGGCTGGAGTGCAATGGCACAATCTCAGCTCACTGCAACCTCCGCCTCCCGGGTTCAAGTGATGCTCATGCCTCAGCCTCCCAAGTAGCTGGAATTACAGGCACCTGCCACCACGCCCAGCTAATTTTTGTATTTTTAGTAGAAATGGGGTTTCACCAGGTTGGCCAGGCTGGTCTCGAACTCCTGACCTCAGGTGATCCACCTGCCTCAGCCCCCCAAATTGCTGGGATTACAGGCGTGAACCATTGCGCCTGGCCTCAGCTCCCTTTAGTTTTTAAAGATAGACTTCCTATCTTATAACAGTTTTAGATTTACAGAGCAGTTGCAAAGATAGTTCAAGGAGTTCCTGTATTCTCTGCATCCAGTTTCCCCTATTATTAGCACCTTAAAATAGAATAGTACATTGGTTACAATGAACAAACCAATGTTGATAAAGTATGTCAACTGAAGTCCATACGTTTTTCATTTTTCCTAGTTTTTACCTAGTTTCCTTTTTCTATTCCAAGATCCCATACCATATTACTTATAGTTGTTGGGTCTCTGGATCCTCCACAGCAATTTCTTAGACTTGCCTTGTTTCCATTATGAAACACTTCAGACATACCAAAAGTGTGTGTGTGTGTGTGTGTGTGTGTGTATAAAGAATACCAATATAACCAGCATTCAGCCCTGGAAGCAGAACATGACCAACATGATTGAAGCCTCATGTATATCCCTCTTGATCTCTTTCTCCTTCCCTCTTCAAGGACGACCAATATCTTAAATTTGGTGCTTTTGTCCCAGGCATGTTTTGAAACGACTATATGTAGTGTTGCTTTGCATATTTTATTTTATCGAGACAGGATCTCACTCTGTCACCCAGGCTGGAATGCAGTGGTGTGATCATGGCTCACTGCAGCCTCTACCTCCCCGGGCTCAAGTGATCCTCCTACCTCAGCCTCTTGAGTAGCTGGGACTAAAGGTGCATGCCACCACGCCCACCTAATTTTGAAAAAAATTTTCTACATATGAGGTTTCACATGTCGACCAGGGTGGTCTTGAACTCCTGGGTTCAAGTGGTCCTCCCTCCTTGGCCTCCTAAAGTGCTGGCACTACAGCAGTGAGCCACTGCCCCCAGCCTGCTTTGCACATTTTAAAACAATATAAGTATTATAAGCATTGCTCTACAGTTTGCTTTTTTCCCCCCACATAACATGTTTTAATCTGCATTGCTCTAATGTATCTAGTTTCTAAGTCAGACTCTGTTGTATGAATCCCCTCTCTTGTTGATGGATATCTAGGTGTTTTCCTTTCTGTTGCTGTCATGGTCATTGCAAACAGTGCTGAACAGACACCTTTACAAGTCACCTTATGCACGTGAGCAAGCATTCTACTTGGGGAGAGGAATTTTGGGGTTTCAAATTTTATCCTTAACAAAGCAGTTTATTCATTCATTCAGTAAATATTGATTGACTATGTAAAAACTGAGCCAGGTTCTAGAGGTAAACAGAACAGAAATAATCCTTCATTTATCATGAGTTTACAATCTAATTGGGAAAATGAACATTAAAGAAGTAATTAAAGATATGTATGTACTATACAGCTGTATCATAAAAATAAAGAACAATGTATTGTGTGCCATGAAAAAAATATAAGGCTTATTAAGGGATGTTTCTTAATGTTTCTTGTATCATAAATTACCTAAAGAATTTCTGGACAGGAAAATGCTACTCTCCTACTGAATTTATGTGCTTTCTTTATCGAACAATGGAAGCAATGTAAAGCAAAGTGTTTCTTTTTTGCCTTAGCTACTAGGAGTAGCTCTCATGTAGATGCTGTGCCCAGCTGCAGTGCCTGGAACAGCCCAGCTACATTTAGTATGTTTATATTTTGGCTTTTTAAATAAATGGTTTTCATATTGTTCTATGTCTTGTTTTGCATGCTGAATCATTTTGAATGTAAATGAGGTATAGCTCTTGGAGAGAGGACAAGATATCATTGATAAGTGGTTGGTGACCCCCACTTTTCTTTTCAGAGACAAATGACCTTGCTTTTACTTGGTCTTGCTGTATTTATATAGGGATCTTACTGTATTTGCATGCTTGCTTAATTTCAATATAAATTTATGAAATTTATTATCCATCAAGAGTCAATTTGTCCTCTAAATATTTCACTTAGATGATGATTTTTTTTAATCACCACCAACACATACACAAACAGAACTCCTTAGCAATTCCATTTGGCTGTACTGCTATCTTTAGGAACATTTATCTTGCTTTAACTCCTCTCTTTTTTACAGACATTTAGTTTTCTGTGACATTGTTTACTTTCGTTATACCTTAATTATGGGATTCTGATAACCATGGAGGAGTAGGAGAGACAATAAATGGGGTTTTGTGGGTGATTAAATGCTAAAGCAAAGCTGAGATCTTTGATAAGCACAACAGTTGTTTCTGCCAGTATATTCCAAAGGCAAGACTATTCTTGCAATTACACAACAAGCAAGGGGGGAGAAACACCTCCCACAAATCACTCTGATATGTTTCTTAACCACTGTGCTTTTGAAAGCCTAATGCTCTTTCTTCTGATGTTTTTTTGACTGTCAGCCTGAGTAGTTGGCTCTTCCTTGGTACGAGGCTATTTAAATGACAGGTCCTTTCTCAGTGTGAATGTGTCAGCTATCTAAATGAGTGGTTGAAAATGTACCTCCGCATCAGCCATGTGGACCACGGCATGGTCTGAAGAAAATTATGTTTGAGCAGCTATGATTGAGCTCAATTTTGCAAAAGCTTACTGAGTTTTAACAAATAATTTAGCCCTATCAAGCAGAAGTGCATTTGGCTGCAGGTAATAGAAAACTGAATCATTGGTGGTTTTAGCAAGTAGGTTTTCTTTTTCTCACATGACACAGATTGGCAATACTGTCAGAGACCCAGTTTCTTTTGTGCTTTCTGCTCTATTTTTTGTAGTCTTTCAGCCTTTATCGTTGGGCTTATTGTCTCAGGGTTGCAAAATGACTGGTCTGACTGCAGATTTTCTAGGAGGGAAGTGCAAAGTGGTGGTGCTGGCCACAGCTTTCCTTCTTTGTCAGGACAGCAAAAGTTTCATCGGAACTCCCCAGTGGACTTGCTCTCTTAATTCAAAATGGCTGTAACAGTGTCACGTTGGCTGCACCTGTTTCAAAGAAAGTTCAGAAAATTGGGTATTTCACAGACACATTAAGATTTCAAACAAAGACGAGAGCATTCACAAGGAACAGAGAGGGAACGTATGTGGATGGGGCAAGTAACTGCCAGTCATCAGCCTGTTATGTACTGTACACATAGAGTTTTGCTGTGCAGCAGCAAATATAAAAATGAATGTCATCACCATGAAAGTGGAAAACCGTATTTCAATGTCATGCAAATGCCATAATTGAAATGAAAAGATAGGAAATGCTGGTGCATTGTCTACATTAATGTATTTGGTTGTTGACTTTATTGCATAAAAAGTATCAGTGGGGACGAGATAGTTTTGCTTTGTTTCAGAAGATTTTGCTTTTGTTTTTCCCAGCTAAGAAGGGAACCTTAAAAATAATGAGGAGGGCCGGGTGCAGTGGCTCACGCCTGTAATCCCAGCACTTTTGGAGGCCGAGGCAGGTGGATCACTTGAGATTAGGAGTTCAAGACCAGCCTGGCCAACATGGTGAAACCCCATCTCTACTAAAAAATACAAAAAAAATTAGCTGAGTGCGGTGGCACGCACCTGTAATCCTAGCTACTTGGGAGGCTGAGGGAGGGAGAATTGCTTGAACCTGGGAGGTGGAGGTTGCAGTGAGCTGAGATTGCACCACTGCACTCTGCACTCCAGCCTGGGTTACAGAGTGAGACTCTGTCTTAAAAAAAAAAAAAGAAAAGAAAAACACACAGATGTATGAAATAGAGCTTATTAATTCTGTATATATTCACAGAAAACGCATACTTTTATGCCTTGATTATCTTTAGGTGATCATGGGGAACAGGAGCCCAAAGATAATTAACAACTGTGCTAAAACAACAAAACCTCAATTGGGCTACAAATGTCAATATCATGTACACAGGTGGAAAAGACTCTTCTTTGATTTCATATTTTTCTTTTATTTCCTTGGCATCCCTGTTCTGGTTATGTCTTGCTGTGTACTCTAGACATAGGTTTTGTGGGTTGACTGAGCTCAGCCGGGTGGTTCTCACTGGGGTCTCTTATGCCCTGGCTCTTAAATGGCAGCTGGGGCTCCTACACATGGCATCTCCATATGGCTTAGGCTTGTCACAGTCTGGTGGCTGGGTTCTGAGGCTGAAGTTTCCAAGAGACCAGGGGGGCTGCTGCAAAGCTTTTAACCTGAGCTTGCAAGTCATGAAGCATCCACTTTCCGTTGGTTGTGCTGGACAGCCCAGATGAAGGGGCAAGTTCCCAAGGACGTGGATACCTAGAGGCATGGTTCATTAGGGACCAACTTTGGAGACAAACAACCACAGTCTCCTTCCTTCTCTTCCCTTGGGGATTGAAAGGGTTATCAAAAGCTGGCCAGAAAGAGAAGCAAAGGGTGAGGATACCGCTGCTGCAGCACGTCTGTAGTAGGGAATGAACCCAGAATGTGAAGAGTTGCCATTCTAGTACCCTCGAGTGTCCTTTTCATGCCATTGGAAACTTGACAATAGTAATTGGGAGTGAGTTGAAATCTTCAGCTTTCTACCTTTGTATTGTCCTTTCAGAGCAAAAAGAAGTAAACATTAACTTAAAAAATGCTTTTGATATTAATAGTTACAAACAAAAAACAAAACATGCAACAATTCCAAGCTCAAATCAAAACCAACACTGAGCTTTGAGGTGCAATTTCTATTCTATGTGTGTGGCCATCTCCTCTTGTGTTAGTGGCTGAGCAGAGAATGCTCCATTCCAAAATAAATAGAATTAATTTTCTTAACAGCATCTTTCTTTGTGCCAAGAACACAGGGTTACAGGAAGCACATCTGAATGTACCATTGGCAGGTTAAATCATTCTCTTTACTTTGGTCTTTGGTGGGTTTTTATGTTTGTTGCTTTTCATCTGAATGAATGGCAATAGAGCAAGTTTTAAAAATCCTTAGGGATCTCCAGAGATTCCTGTCTTGCTAAGAAACAGGAAGGCCGCAATTAGCAGAGACCAAGAATGAAGAGGAGGAGAAGGGGGCGGGTGTCTTTGTTGCTGTAAACTACTAGTTTTCACCATTCTGCACCTTGGGCTGTGTTGCTGCTGCTACCTGGAACACCCTTCCTCCCCCTCCTCTGCCGGGAAGACTCCCACTTAGCCCAGATGCAGCCCAGCTGCTGGCTTCTGCATGCAGCCCACCTCTTCTTGCTGGACAGGGTGGCGTCTTGTCCCCCACACCCACAATTCCTGTGCCTATCACTTTGTCTCTGTATTCCTTCCTCAGATTGTAGCTCCTTAGTGGCAGGGACCAGCTCTTAGCCTGATATCATCAGCCAAGCAACGTGTAGGATGCAGAGGTTTGGCAAAACTTTGAAAGCGGGAATGTATAGTCAACTATGTCGATGTCTGGGTCATTTTTCCAATGTCTGGTAGCAATTGTGTTAGGTGGCTTATACCTCTCCTGGACCCACACATAGCAAATTCTAAAAATAACAAACTGGACCATATAAGCTTTTCCAAAAGCCTGGGGTGGGGGAGATGTTATAATATCCTGACATAGCTGTGCTGTTGTTCATTTCACCTCTGTCACCTAGAGCAACCCCCTCCATGTTTTCCAAAACCGCCCCCATCCTCGGGGTCTGGTTTGGGACCCCTGTCCTCCTGGAGGTCCTCTTTGAACCCTCTGGACCCTTCTCTCAGAGCCCTCTGGTACCTTGATGTCACAGCATTTCCTGTAATTTCATTTCCCTGGCCTCTTGGCTAAGATAATAGGCTCCTGTCCTTGCTTTTTCTCTGTCCCCTGAAAGGGGTGAAGTCGTGTGGACATGTGGCAGGTGCCACTATTGTTTATCTGCTGAACACTAGCACTCCCCGTGCCTTCATGCCATCAGGCAGGGGGCATTTGTTCTTTTGACGGTGTGGACAGGGGCAGAGTTTAGTGGCATTGTTCTTTTTTAGCTTAATGAGCACGAACTGTCAGAGCTTGGACCAAATTTTTCTTGCAGATATATTTTGATTGACAGGCACAGGATTTTTGGAGATAATTGAAAGAGTTGCCAACATTTATCAGGAGACTGTACATAAAAATACAGAGTTCCAGTTTCCCTCAAAAATTTGGAAGTTTTGGCAAAATTGAGTCCCAATTACCAAAAATTGCTTCTAACCAAGCAGTAACTATTCCCTTCACACAGAATGAGCCTCCCTTCCCTCATTTCCTGTAAAATGGTACTGCATGTTCTCCTCTTTCATTTGTGTCACCTGCCTCATTGGTGGGTAAGTTGTTCTAGAAAATGTCTATCATATGTGCTGCTGTACTGCTAAGTGCGTAGAGCCCTAGTACCCACAGGGCACACACAAACAAACCTGGTATACAAAGAACTTCTGTGCGGATTTCTTTCTTATTGTGCACATTTTAAGGGGCATCAGTCTCTGTCCATGCATCCTTAGAATTGTATGGCTTTTTCATGATTTGATTTATTCAACAAGGATCGAACAGTCTGTTTGTATTGAGTATTTACTATATATTAGTTACTGTTCTAAGTATAAACTCATTGATCTCACAACTCTGAGATGGGTGCTTTTACTATCTCCATCTTACAGATGAGCAGCAGTTTTTTTGTTGTTTTTTGAAATGGAGTCTCTCTGTCACCCAGGCTGGAGTGCAGTGGTGCGATCTCGGCTCCCTGCAAGCTCTGCCTCCTGGGTTCATGCCATTCTCCTGCCTCAGCCTCCCGAGTAGCTGGGACTACAGGTACCAGCCTCCATGCCCGGCTAATTTTTTATATTTTTAGTAGAGACGGGGTTTCACCGTGTTAGCCAGGATGGTCTCGACCTCCTGACCTGGTGATCTGCCTGCCTCGGCCTCCCAAAGTACTGAGATGACAGGCATGAGCCACCGCACCCTGCCTAGAAGCAGCTTTAATACCAGGTCACACAGCCAGGAAGTAGACTAGCTAATGTTTCACCTTAGGCACAGGTGGAGGGAGTCACACATCTGTAAGATTTGTTCCCAGGACAATATCATTTTCTTTAAATGTCTGTTTTGGGAGGACTTCAATGAGCTCTCAGATAGAAACACCCATTTCCAGGGAGCATTCTTACCCTAGAAAAAGCTTGGGACAGTTGTATTCAGACAGCTCTGCTGTTGACCATGTAAGGAACTCTCTGCCACTCTTCCTCATAGCTTTGGCGGGGATTATTTGTCTTTAGACTTGTTCCTTTTTGTGAAAGTGACAGTAGTGATAGTCATTAGTAGTTAGTAGTCATGGTTACTTTTGTTGAGCACTTACAGTGCCAAATGTAGTAAGCACTTTCAAACTGTATTACTCTCCCCGTTTCTACTTGGGAAACTGAGTATTACTGTGTGAGTGATGGGGACTTCTTGAAAGATCCTAAACATGGGAATGTCGTAATCAGGTTGCTGTTTCATGGATTTGGTTCCGAAAGCCAAGCAGAGAGCGGGTCACCAGCACAGTAGTAAGAGTCAGGAAAATTGGTTGAGACTGTTGTGTACAGGGGAGAGTTGCTTGGGGCTTGAACTAAAGGGACGGTGAAGAGAGGGGTAGGTTTGAGAGAGACTTAGAAGATAGTAATGGCAAGGCCTGGTAAAAGACGGGAGTGATTTCCAGTTTTACAGTTTGGACGGCAGCATGGATAAGAAAGAATATAAGGGGCTGGGTGTGGTGGCTCAGGCCTGTAATCCCAGCACATTGGGAGGCTTAGGTGGCCAGATCACTTGAGGTTAGGAGTTCAAGACCAGCCTGGCCAACATGGTGAAACCTCCTCTCTCCTAAATTAGCTAGGCGTGGTGGTGCACACCTGTAATCCCAGCTACTCGGGAGGCTGAGGCAGGAGAATCGCTTGAACCTGGGAGGCAGAGGTTACAGTGAGCCAAGATTGCACGACTGCACTCCAGCCTGGGCAATAGAGCAAGACTCTCAAAAACAAAACCAAAAAAAGGTAGAAAGAAAGACTGTAAGAAGGCTAAGAAGGCATCGTGCGGACAGGGGAGTGAAGTGTCACAAACTGTCAGTTTGATGTACTCTGTGACTTTCAGTTGAAGATGTCACAAGATTACGACAAGGAGCTCCCAGTGTCTTCACGTAGTTTTCCCAGCTTACTCAGTAAATATTTGTTCCCTAAATGAATTCATGATTTCCATAGTTACTCAGTAAATATTTGTTTTCTAAATGAATCTATCTGTAAGCAACTCAAGTAATATCCCCTCCTACCATTTATCTTAATGTTTGAATTTCATCTCCAACCACTTAAATCATAGTCTCTGGGAGATGGGAGCTAGGCATTGACATTTAAAAATGTATGTTCGGCCAGGCACAGTGACTCATGCCTGTAATCCCAATACTTTGGGATGCCAAGGCAGGTGGATTGTTTGAGTTCAGGAGTTCAAGACCAGCCTGGGCAACATGACAAAACCCTGTCTCTACCAAAAATACAAACATTAGCTGGGCTTAGTGGCATGCATCTGTAATCCCAGCTACTTGGGAGGCTGAGGTGGGAGGATCACCTGAGCCTGGGAGGATCATCTGAGCCCAGGAGGTTGAGGCTGCAGTGAGCCGTGATTATGCTACTGCACTCTAACTTGGGCAGCAGAGTGAGACCCTGTCTCAAAAACAAACAAACAAAAACCTTTGTGTCCACAGATATTCTAATTTGTGGCCAGGTCTGACAGCCACTGCTTCAGTTTTAA
Source organism: Homo sapiens (assembly GCF_000001405.40). Lineage (NCBI taxonomy): Eukaryota > Metazoa > Chordata > Mammalia > Primates > Hominidae > Homo > Homo sapiens. The sequence continues at coordinate 72,101,259 of NC_000014.9, forward strand.
TGAAACAACAGATGAAACAGGTCTACTGAGATGTTCTTTTACTCATCCATCAATTTCATTTTTGAGTGTCTACCACTGTTTTGAGCTCCATGAAACTCAAAAGTAAGCATTGATGTGTTCACCTCTGTGTTCCTAGTACCAGAACTGTGCCTGGCACAGAATAGGTGCTCAATAGATAGTTGTAGAATAAATGAATGTTTTATGATTCTGAGCACTTAGAGAATACTGCGCTCTAGTAACATACAACCATCAGTGTCTGTAGCTGTGGCAGGAGGCTTTCTGCTTCTGAGGTCTCTCTGTCTGGACTGTTGTGCTATTATCCTCTCATGTTTCTTCAAGGCAGAGGGGTTGCTGCCTGGGAAAGGTGTACACTTTGGAGAGTGAAGTCAGACTTTGCTAAGTGAACGCTTGGATACGTGTTGTGCATCTCTGTTCCCAAGTACCTTCTCTGCTATGGACTGAATTGTGTATCTCCAAAACTTGCATGTTGAATCTCTACCCCCAGTGTGATGTTATTTGGAAATGGGGCCTTTGGAAGATAATCAGGCTTAGATGGGTCCACAAGGCTAAGGCCCTCATAGGGGAATTACTGCTTTTAAAAGACTAGGACATTCTCTGATCCTTTGGAAGTATATTTCCTTTCCATCCTCTTCTCTATTACCTGCCTTCCACCTGCATCATTGGAGTTGGCTTCTTGGTGTTGACAAACCTTACAATACTCAGGTTGAAGACAAGAGCAGCCGAGAAGGAGCTTTTGTAGGGAGTGGTTGTCAGTGTCTGGTGCTTTAATATTTCCTTCCGTTGGGATTTGGAAAAGGCAGTCCCACATAGAAAATTGTTCCAGCCGAGGAACAGCAAGTCTGTCTGTCAATCTCTGGGTATATTGAAGACATCTCTCTGAGTATATTCCAAATGTACTCATCAGTGACGTACTGCTTCTCCAGAAGGTCCCCTTAGGAAGTTGAAAAAGATTCTAATTCCTAACACAGTAGCTCCTGCTATTTTCCTATGTATGTTTTTTTCTCGCTTTTATCTTCTGCTTTACCAAAATACATTTACATAAACAATATTAGTATGTGTACAGAAAATATGAATAAAGAAATAAAGATTAAAAACCTTAGAAGAAATGAAAATAAAAACTTAAGAATTGGAAAAGAATTCTAAAATCTCAAGGTTGACCAAGCTGGAGGGTTTTTTTGTGCATATTTATTGCAGTTCTACCTTGTGCCAGGTTTTAGATACTTTCTTTTAATCACAGAACTTTACAAGATACGTATTATCTCTATTTTATGGATTAGAACATTTAGGCTCTGAAACTCAAGGGCATGTAGCTGCTACATGGTAGAGTCAAGATTTTAATTTAGCATGCCTAACTGTAAAGCACCTTTCCTTGGTCTAAAGGCCAGTGACAGTTCCTAATGAAAGTTTTCACACGTACACAATGAAACAAGAAAATGAAGACAGTGTAGAAGATTTTTGATAAAGCAAAATACAATTAACTTTAAGAAACCTGTTCATTATTTTAAAATACCTATATTGGCTAAAGTTTGGCAATCTAACGTCAGACCCCTAATCATTATATATATATTTTTTTCTTAAAAGTCTACTCGTTCGTGAAATCACAAGTTCACACTCAGGGTTCGTGATTTAATGGTGGAACAAAACAGAATATTTAAAGTTGGGAATGTTCCAGAAAAGCTAGATTTACAAGATTGTCTTAAGGCCCCAAAGAGGAAACAAAGATTTGGCTTGCTGATCAGAGTTAAACATTGTGTACAAAATACCTTAGGAGGAATTTGAGACCTCCGTTATTTCAGACTTAGGAAATAGCCCTTTCTTATCTCTCATATAATGGTACCTGTCTCTCAGGAAGCTAGGCCTCCCTTGCAGTGGTAATAGCTGGCCTGTGGAGCCCCTTCACATTGCATTACGGCAATTCCAGTGCCTCCCTTTCCCGTTAGGAATCTAAGCTTGTACTACCTTTTAAAATATCTTCAAGAGTCAATATGTGGATATCTGAGTGTCAAATCTGGCATGCACTGTATTTAAGTATCACTTAGGAAGAAAAGCAAAACCCTCAGCCCCTTGAAATGATTTTTAAATTAACTTTTTGGTGGAAAAGTCCCATTTTATCTGTGCAACTTAATACCCTTTGTGCAATTTTAGCCAACTTCTTGAAAACACAGGAGGAAAACAACAACTTTCATTATCTCTTTTGCTCTGAATAGCAGCAATCATCAAACCAACATCCACCACCTTCTTGTTCTCCTGAACTTACGTATTTTTGTATATGCAACAACTTAGGGAAAAACATAATGGCAGGAAAGAAAACCTTTTCCCCTAAGTAAGAAAAATCACAGAAAATCATTAGTGTGCTAATTAAGGAACAAAAATCAAATTGTGAAAGGTTTCTTACCCAGATTGAAATGAATAGGCCTGGGCTTGTTCCCACAGTGGAGACAGGGCTCCCGGAAGTATGCTGGAAGCATGCAAGGCCACTTGCCGCCTAGACTCAGAAATGACACATCGTCACTTCCACCATGTTCCATTGATTAAAGAAAGCCATTCAGGCCAGCCCAGATTCAAAGGGTGGAGGAAACAGAGGTTGCCTATAAAAGAAGGATTTTGACCATTTTTACAATTTACCAAAGGAGTGACTTGGTCGAGGATATTAACTAATTTAAAGGAGTTAATGTAGGTGAAGCTCTTAGAATGCCTAGTGCATGACAATTGTTGTTTTGCTATTTTTTATTATTATTACTGTATTCTCTCTAGGCGTTTCCCCCAGGAGCTTATTGAACGTCCTTTAATCTTTTGTTTTGTTTTTAAAAATGATGTTGGAGGAACAACGGTGACTTTTCAGGCCCTGGAAATGCTACATATGGGATGGTATCGTAGAGGTGTTTCTTTGCCTCCCATGGGCGCCCCCGGTTTTGCTCTCTCCCCCTCTAGGTGGCGCTGTCGGGGATCCCCAGCTGTCCCACGTTGTCTTGCTTTTCCTTTCCTCTCTGTCAAAACGAATTCTCATTCTTGATTCTTACCACTGCAGTGTTTACCAACTTTGAGTGATATATTTCCCTTTTAAAGAAAAGCAGTCTTGTGAATTTAGTTGTTGTTTTATATTTTTATTATGTTACTTAAATATGTACAAACATAAAGCTATGTATAAACTAATTATGCTTGCTCATAACTTTTATGCATTTATAAAATAAAGGAAATGAAACTTGAACAGAACAGATTTAAAAATTAAAACTTCAGAATTTCAAAATAGCAGCATTAACCTAACATGACAGATGATATTATTTTTACTAAAACTACATCCAGACGCAAAGCCACCGTGGCCTTTGATGCCTCAGTTACCCCACACCTTCTCTGTTTGGACTCCTGCAAGCTCTTCGAATACAGTGTGCTGTGAAATTATTATCAAGTTGATTATAAACACAAATATGAGAACTGAAGTTACCTGACAGTGCTTGGTTATAAGATGGCTGTTTAACTTAGTGCTCTCAAATTTTACTGTGCAGGTAACTCACCAGGGATCTTGTTAAATTGCTCACTTTGGTACAGAGGGGCAGGGGTAGGGTACAGAATTCTGTGTTTTAAATAAGCTCTCAGGTTATGCCTGTTGGCTGATCTGGGAATGACACTTTGAGTACAAGGATCTGACTATGGTTCCATCATTTGTTTAGATTATTAAACACACAAATATTTAAGAATCAGTCGAAAACATGTTTCTGGATAGGTCCTTGGTCTCTAGTCTAGTCACTGCACTAAAACATACAAGCAGTTAGGTTGTTAGAGCATTATACTAGCCCTATGGGAATCAGATCCAGACACCAAGCATGAAGTTGCATGTATTGAGTATCAGGCATCAGCCAGTAATATAGGGAGGGAATGATGATTGTACAAAGACCTCCCTGGACATTCCAGATGCAACTCACAGATGATGACTCCTTGACCAGTGGGACAGGCCTGATGTGGTTTTGCCTCTAATAAATCAAATCTTTCCATTTTTACCCAAGTAAAATTTTATTTGTACTTTCCTTATGATCACCACTCACATTTTGCCTGGTCTTACAGTTTAAAATGTGGTACAGCTTTCTTTTTCTATGTTAATATTCTGAGGGCAAGGATCATGTTCTATTCCTTTTTGTACTTTTCATACAGCAGGCATACAGACATTTGTGGAATTGAATGTATTAGCTAGATAAATCTTGAGGGTGCCCTCTGCTATTTGCATAACCAAGTTTTTTTCTGAAAATTCCAGGAATTTTGCTCTTTCTGTTATATTTCAGACTCGTTATTTTATTTACTACTGCTGCTTTTTTTTCTTCCTAGGAAAGATTCCTAAGATTTAAATGACTAAAGCTTAGTCTCTGATATTTGAACATAAACCACATTTTTATTGCTCTTGGCTCTCAGGTGCGCTTTGCTTTTAATTTTTATCTGAGAATAAATGTTGAGAAGATTAGAAACGCTTATTTAGTTGATAATCTGTGTGACCAGAATTTATCCTTTCTAAATAGTTCCATAGCAGTCTTCGAGAGAGAAGTTCTGGTAGAAGAGGAGGTAGAGTGAGTTGTTCTTTAAAAAGGAAATGCAAGTTTGTAGAGAGATACCCAGGTGTGGGCTTTATGCATGAAATATTTTTCCTATGAGAAAAAGGAAAACAGTGCCTGACCTTATCAATAAACCATTGTAAGACGTCTTCAGCGTAGGTCCCAAGGACATTCCAACTGTTCTTTTGGACTGAGAAACTCTCAGGTAGTGGTTGGGAGAAAAAGATCCAGAGGTCGCAGTGGGATATTTAACAAACATATGAATCAGCTGTATAGCACATCAGAGAACAGAGAGACCAGACATAAATGCATAATAAGGCAATATTCTCATGATATTGATAAGAACTTTTTTTCTAAGTTCTGTTGATCTGTCTTTCTACCCATTCAATCATTAATTTAACATTGTATTGAGAAATTAAACACAGACTCAAACTACACAAAATAAGCATAGTTTAATGCAAAGATTCCCAAAATATGGTCTCCAGATCAGCATTGCCTTGGAAGTTGTGAAAAAAGCAAATGTTTGCACTCCAGTGGAGATTTACTAAATCAGAAACTATGGAGGTGGGGTGTTTATTTTAACAGGCTCTTCCGAAGCTTCCCATGCATGCTTGAGTTTGAGAACCAGTGGCTTAGCATGAACTAGTATGAGGTGGACACTTTGAAACCAGCACCTAGCTAAAGAAATAGACCTGCCAGTCACTTCAGAAGCCCCTCCATGTGTCCCTTCCCAGCCATAATTCCTTTCTCCTTCCAAATTACCCACTCTCTTGAGTTTTCCAGTAATTACTCCCTTGCCTTTTTATAGTTGTGTCACTGAATTGCATATCCCTAGCCGCAATCATTTAGTCTTTTCCATGGATATTAACTTATCTTTCAGTCTATGCATTCCCCCATTGTCCCCTCCTTTTCCATACAGTGTATCTGATGAAGAACTTGGACTGTTAGACCTGTTGGAGGTTCTCAGAGTGGATTTTGCTGGTTGTGTACTCATGGTGCAGTGTAACATGTTCCTCTGAACTTCCTGAGTATCAGCAGCTGGATATAGGGGTTTCATCAAATCTTAGTCCTGTCCTTTTGCTAAGACTATAGGTGGGACTGCGTTTTTTGTTTTTTTCTTTTCTTTTTTTCATCAGGAGGCGCAGGAAGTCTAGTTCTCACTGTATTTTGATGTTAACAGCCATAGATACTCAATACTTAGATCGATTGAGAGAAGCATAATGGTGACAGTCTGTCATTTCATTTTCATTTATTAGCTGGAAAGTCTTAGATGGAATAAATTTAGATCACTATATGGCTACCTTGTGGTAGATTTCACACTTGAAAAGCCGGTTGAATGCTCAGTTTTCCTTTTATTTACCTAATTTTCAAGATACTGAATTGCTTCCCTGTCATGTTCAGAAGGGGACCAATTAAAGAAAAAAACAAAAAAAAAACATGAACTACTAGGTTTAAACGTAGTGGAAGAGTAATCAAACCGTAGCAAATCATCCCTATTGAAGCTCAAATTGTCCCATTTTTGGCCAGTGGGAGCCTCTTCAACTTGGCTCTTGATTCCTTTTGGTATAACTCTAGCACTATTTGATTCCTTCCTTTTTTATTACAGGCTCATCTTGTGTATTTCCTGCCCCAGACCAAGAGTCAGCCATTTCTCTGAGAATGCACCCTGCTCCCCCAGTTCTTTTTGATAGGAAAAAAATGTCAAAACCACAAACCAGATTCTCATAACTACTGACTTGATTCTTTTTTACTGAGTCTTTTCAATGGGCAAAACTGGGAAATATCCACTTCTATATCTATATAGCTTTTTCTATACCTATACATAGATGTTATATGTATTTAAATATATTTAAAGTTAAAATACCTCATGAGTTTATACTGATATTTCCAATTCAGGACTACAGGGTTTTAACGTCTTCTGTATGGCATCTATATCTTCTTTTTCCTGCCCAAACAATCTTGATTCTCAAGGACATAGAGTATGCTAGATTAGAATATGTCATAATTACTCATTTGCATGCTTCCACATTACACACACAATATTAATACTACCACCACCAATTATGATTACTAAAAAGAATTAAAACATTTTTGTGCATATGCTATTCTCATTTTCCTCTATTATTTTATAGTTATACCTAATCTGTTTTTATCAGGTAATAGTTATTAATGCTATACTCTCTTCCATTTAACCCCCATTTAATGTTCTTAGTTTCATATATTTGATGGTCATCACCATTTTCACGTCAATGACATGACACTTGGTTGTCCAAAGCTCATTCTGTAGTAGTCGCCTTAGGAAGAAGTTATGGGAACAGAATACCTTGTGTTCTTACATGTTGAAAGAATGTTTTCTCTACTTAATGTTCATTTTTGCTTGGATATAAAATCCTTGGCTTATATTTTCTTTCATTGAGTACCCTAGATACATTAGATCATATCCTTCTGGCATAAAACCCTGTCAAATTCTAGTGATAATCCAGTTTTTATTTTTTCTTACAAGTCACATTCTCTTTTTGCAAGAAGCCCATAGAGATTTTTTTTCTTTAAAGTCTTGTCATTTTACTAGCATATGTCTTGATGCTGATAGTTATGGGTTGTTATTCTCACATAAGTAGTTTCTTTTTTTGTATCTTAGGACAGTTTTTCTTGATTTATAGTTTTTAAAATTTGTTATGTTTTCTTGTTTTACTGTTTCTGCCTTCTTTAGAGACTCCTGTTGTCCTTATGTTGCATCTTACTTGTCTGTCTTCAAAATTTATCAATTCTTGAAGGCTTCTTATCTTTCTTAAGTTCTTTTGATTTTTTTAAAAAAATTTAATTTCCCCCTTCTACTTTTGAAGTTATTTGGTTTTATTATTCACTCTTAAGTTTCTTCTAGTTAAGCCTTTTTAAGAACATTTCTAATTCTTTTCTAAGCTCTGTCACCTTATTTCTGAACTTTTTCTAGTTCCAATTTATATTGTTCCTTCATGTCTAGCGTGTTTTCTTAGTGTCTTTTGGCAAATCTGGAAATTGTATGTTAGAATTGTGATCTGATTTTGGAGCCAGTTTTCTTGGTGTGCTTTCATTATCTGTGGAAATGTTGTTTTATTCGTTTTCCTCTTTTATCCTTAAGCAATAATGTGTGGAATTTTCTCTCCATGCTTTTCTGTTGCTCATTTTCCTCACGTTTTAGAAAGAGACTTTGTTCAGATGGATTTTTCTAACTTCATAGAGCTCTGTCTTCTATTGTTTTTATGTAATTTTTTTTAAAAAACTTGCTTTGTAAATTTTTATGTTGTTTTTTCCTTTTCCACTGTTACCTGAATCTTCTCTTTTTTTTTCTTTCTGTTTTGCTCAATTTTATTTTTTTCCCAGCAGCTTCTCTCCAGTGTGGTACCTTGTTTTGAGAGCAGGTGCTGGCTAATTGTGTAACAATTTGTGATTTATCCTTACCTATTTGTATCTTGATGTTTGTGAGGATACCTTGTCTCCCAGTTTTGTTGTAAATGTCCATTAATTTTTGAACATTCTGTTTGATTTCATTGCTCTGTCTTTCGACATGTAGGGATTCTAGGAGTTCCAAAAACTGTGTCACTGCTACCACTGCCATCTCCTCAGGAATTCCTCAGTTTTTCAAATGATGATTTTTGAAATTTTAGAGTCTATAACTTGAGAGATATAGCATTTTTGGAGCTGGGACAAAAAAGTTTTTAACTTAATTATGGGAAGTAATGAAAAGAATTGGCTTCTAAAATGCAATGCAGAGATGCATAAATGTATTCTCTTTATCTTGCCCAATTACAGAGCAAAATAGATGACAATACAGAAATAAACATGGTCTGGAGTAGAAGTAGGTTAATCCGCATGCTTTAGATTGACTTACAGTATATACACTTTATTTCTTCATTCAGTGAATAAATTTATATAGTGCCTTACAATGGACAGATACTGTACAACATAAAAAATATGTTGACCCTTGCCTGTCTGGCCTACCTTGAAATGCTGTGTATAACAAAATTACACACAGAAGACCTCAGATGTGGCAAAGTGAAGTGAGAGGGAAGTGACTTTCCCAATACCACACAGTACTTTGAGAATTAGACCACAAGCCTGGATATCTGTAACTCCCAATCCAAGACTTCTTCCACCCCAATATTCAATCTCATTACTAAGTGTCAAGAAAGTGGATTTGTTACCACCAAAAAAAGAAAACTTTCTGACATTGAGTGTGTGCTGTTTTTTGAAGAATGTTGTGAATTCTCTGTTCTTAAAAAGTCAGTAGTGCAGCTTTCAATGTAGAGTTCTTTTGTTCAGGCTTACACAACTATCACCATTCACCAGATAACTTGCTGTATTCCAGACATCATTGGCTGCTTTGTATACATATTCTTATTTAACCCTCACCACCTGGCAAAGCATTGTCCTCATCTCTAGTTTACAGAGGAAGAGACTTATTTTAACTCAGAGTATGTTGTCCAAAATTACCCTGCTAATAGACTGGTGATTCTGTGGAAACAGACACTTTCTTCTTTTATATGTAAAGTGTTCTGGGTAACAAATAATACACTCTCTTCTCATCACTGTGGGCACCATGGTCTGGGTGCCTCATTGGCCTCTCTATCCCCTCCCAACACATACACAGAAGAGAGGAGAGGAGAGAAGCATCCTAAATGCTTGACTCTCTCGGCAGAAAGTCTACTGTGTCTAATGGTCTTGTAGGAGGGAGGCAGCGACATCTCTCTCCCTGCCTTCTTCCTTTCCATTCCCCTCTCTACTAAATTAGCTCCCTGAGCATCAGAGTGTAAATCCAGTTTCTCTTACTTGTGCAAACATGGACATTCTTATGCCACTTTGTGTGTAAAATTTTTACATGAAGTCTATAACCTGTTGCTTTGGTATGTAAGGCTGTAGAATGAGCAATAACGAAAACCAGAAATGTTTGGGGGAAAGAAGTTTTTGTCTGATCTTCTATATTCATTGACCCAGACAAGTGTCACAAGGACCATGAGAGTCTGGGGAGCCTGGGACATTGCCCACACTCTGCTAATGAAGAAACTGAACCACACCTACATCTTTGTCTAGTCACACCTAGCAGCCTCTGACCTTGCTCTCCTTGCCTCACTCTGATCCCTCTAGAATCCATTGCACATACCAACCAACTCAGGCCCTAAAACTCTTCTTTTGTGAGGTTACTTTCCAGTCTTTAACCTATTGGCTTTTTCTCATTGTTCCTCAAATCAAATCTGAACTCCACTGTCTGCAAGACTCTCCCGTTCTTTTCCTGACCACCTTGGCTGACAGCTCTTGGAGAAGAGGGCTTAGATTGATAATAATCTGTGATCCTTTCCTTCCACCTTGCCTAGCTCTGCCAGTTCATGGAGTAACATTTTCTTTTCCACAGTTACTGTAAAAAGAAATCGATTCTTTTTAGCTAAAGTAAATGACATCCAACTCTCCTTACATGGAAAAAAGGCACTAAAGTGCTGACAGATACCATCTCAGGAATGGATGGATATTCTTGCTGTTTCTCTTCCAGGACAATCAGAAACAAATTTAACTGGTGAATGGCCATTCCATGTGGAAGGGAAGTGGTAACATAGGGCACTAGATTAACCTAGTGCACTTCTCAGTAGGATTCATGGTATTTCTATGTAATTTCCACTTACAAATTACACATCTAATAGAATCTTAAATGGGAAGACAAGGATGAGTCATATGCCCAATCCACATTTATGTCTTCAAAATACGCTTTGAACAACAAAGCCACATATACATGTTAAAAGGCCTAGTAAACTTCTAGAACACTAGAAAATCCTGATTGCCAGGATCTGTTAGTCACTCCACTCCAGACAGGGTTTTGACAAAATGCCTTTTCCCAACAGAGGTTACCATCTTCACAAGAAGACCACATTTGTATATATGTGGCCAGCAGCATTCGCCAGGGTACGTACCTCAAGGAAGCTTCAAATGGCCATTCAGTGCGCACTCAAAAGGGATCCTCAGAGGAGCATTCAGACCATTTGCTTAAATGATTGTGTGCTCATTAAGGTGGGCAGATCTGCAGTCTCAACTAGAGATCTGGTAGTTAATCTGGGTCCAGGATGTTTCTTAACTAAACATGTTAAAGGAGCCGGATAGGTTGCTCTCTACTGCCAATTTATCGGTTTTACTTTTCTCCTTGGCTACAGTGCAATTTGGCTCTTTGGTTTAATCCCCTTGAGAAGCCAGAATCCATTGGCATGCGGAGCTCTGGGTCTTAGAGCAATATGGCTCTAAAATGTACGAGGTTTATTCTGATGGTCCCTGTCACATTAGCAGATGGTGGCATTTACCATGTTGATGGGAGAGGAGTCCTTGTGCTCTCAGCCACAGATGGCCCGGGAGGCTGTCCCAGCAGCAGCACCTCACCCTCTCCAACACATGCCATGTAGTTAGTTGTTCCCTCTCTTTGTTCCTATACCACTTACGTTTGCATTTCTTTCATGCAGTTCGTTGGTGGTGGTTATAGTCATCTGTTTTGATGCGTGCTCCCCATATTAGGCTGCTAAGGTTTTAGGGGCAGGTACCTGGCTTCTCCTCCAGGGATTAAGAGATGCAACGCTATGCTCAAGGTCACAAAGGTGCTGAGTGGCAGCAGGGTAGGATTCTAAGCCTCATTCATCAGTCTCCAAAGTTCAGGCTTTTAATTAGAAGGCCTGTCATATCATAGAAATCACAATGGTCCTCTTAGGGCAAAATAATGGGTGTGAAATCGTGGATGGTCCAACGATAATTACAATAAGAATCGTTTATTTGTTTCTTAGAAACTGAACTAATCATTTTACAGGCATCATTTCAGTTAGTCCTCCTAATAGTCCTATGCATGAGGAATGTCATCACCATTTTCAGATGAGAAAATTGAGTGTCATAGAGGCTAAATGACTTGCCAACCAGGTCACACAGCTAGTAAGTAGCTCCAAGTCTAACCCAGATTGATGTGATTCCAAAACCCTGGTCTTGGGCATCTGACTGAGACCCCCCAATGTATGGGTGCCTTGCTTTATCTAGGCTCAGATCCTGGAGGTCATTTGTTGTTACCTTGAATATAAGAAACACACAGGGGGACAGGCAGACTCTGAAAATATAAAGTTCATTCCCCTGAATCAAATGCAGAAAACAGTTCTCTTATGGGTTGTCCCACTTTTCATTTGAACTTAGTGGGGACCACGGGAGGGGCTGTTGAAAATGACCAGCTCTTTCCTCTGCCAGGCTTCCTACACTTACACACACACACACGCATGCACGCATGCATGCACACACATGCACACACACACCCCACTTCATGCTTAGACAGTGATAAAGTGAGTAGCTGGGGCAAGCCCCCCGACATGTGGATGACTATGGTGGTGGTGATGGTAGGAATGGTGCCTTATATTAGTGTACCTTGTACGTTTACACATATTTATTTGATCTACCTCAAGGTAGGTGACCAAGTATTATCAGTCCCTTTTTCCTCATGTAGGAAGAAACTGAGTGTCAGAGTAATTGAGATGGAGCAGATTCAGACTCAGGACTCCTGTTTCCTGATGGAGTGCACTTTCTGCTAAAGTAATAGCTTTCAAACTGTGGTGGGTTGAGGAGCCCCAGAAGCCATCATAATAAGTGAGGGCCAGGGGACTCAAAGACCTACATCCTGCTTCAACTGGAGCATCTCTGCTTTTATTTGACGGGTATAGAGGGTTCTGCATGTGGTTTTATTTTATAGAAGGGTCTGATGTTCTAACAGTTTGCTACTGCTATGTAACAAACCACTACCAAAAGTTAGTTAATTATTATTGCCCATGCCTGTGTGGCTTGGCAGGGCTCTGCCAGACTGCTCTGCTGCAGGTGGTGGCTGTGGGGCAGCTGGGATGGCTCTGTTCCTCAGGCCTGTCACTCTCCTTGGACGGGGGATAGATGGTGCATGTCCTGCACATCTTTCAGGCTTAGACTTGGAACTGGTATACTGTCACTTCCAAAGCAAGTCGCATGGCTGTGCCCAAAGTCAAGGGGTAGGGAAGAACATTGCTCATAATGAGGCTATGGCAAGGGAATGGACGCAGAGAGGGGTGAAGAACTGGGGACAATAATGCAATCTGCAAGTCCATGAAAAAATTGTATTATCACTGCTCTGTTTAAATTAGGCTATTAAAGTCCTTCAAGACTTATTTATCCATAAAATCAAGAGGAAATGGCTGTTGTATTGTAAAAGACAAAGGACTTCTACCCAGAGATAATCAGGTCTGAGGACTGTTGCTTCTGAATGGCTGCCAGTTTGGATTGTGGTCAGTGTTCTCATCTTTTCACAGCTTTACTCAGGTAGGGTGGATGTATAAGTGTGTGTGTCAGACAGAGAGAGAGGTGCAAAATAGAAGCACGCCTCTGTCTATCAGCCTTGTCAGCTTCGATCCTTGTTTAGTCTGTGCTTTATCTTCTCCCGTCTGTCAATGATGTCCCCCACCATTTACTGCAGGCGGGTCTATAGATCCAGTCTCTCCCCTGCCAGTCTCTCTTTGTTTGTTGCCCTGGTGTCACTGCACCTCTGAGCTCTAAGTCTTTACCTTCTGAAAGCCATTCCTAGGACAATCATTAAAACCTATGGTAGTTGATAATTTCTGACCCTAGGCTGGCTAATTTGCCTTCATAAACTGTCAGATTCTGCTAAGGTCATTGAATGCTGTCATCTTCATAATGTGGTTCAAGCAAAATGGATAAGAGACCAAACAAGGAGAAATCTCCCTAGAACACAGTATGCCAGCATTGCTGTATCTCAACAATTAAAAAATGGTGCGGGAGTTACCCAGTAGAATATTTAGTGAGGTGTACTCTATGTGGAGTTCATAAATACAAATGCAAAATATTTAATGCACAGAATCAGAGTTGCAAAATAAGATTTAATTCTAGAGGATTAGGGAGACAGAACTGACTTAAGGCTGTTTTTCCCAGTAAGCTTAATTACTTGGATGACAATCATTAAACATTGCAAGTCACCTATCCCAAGTGATCGAAGGGCTTTTCACCAAATGTCTGAGTGAGAAAGTGATTATCTTATAGAACAAACAAGTATGATAAAGGGAAACAATCAGACAAGTAATTATGATAAAGAAAAACAAGAAAAACGGCACATCCAGCCTGTTTTGTGGGAAGAATCACAGAGGCACTATGTAAGTACGGCTCCTTTATCTAACAGATCATTTACTAACTATCTGGAGTCAAAGTCAAGTTTATCTACATGCTGAAATCTATTTCCTTCTAATAAGATTCCATCCACTTGGATCTCAGTTATGTGGCAATCTTGACATGGAACGTGTCTCGGAATATGGAAGGGCATGAGAAGGCACCAAATCTTCAACCCTAGCGCTCGCTCAGGGTTTGATTAGAGAAGCAGAATCACAGGATTATTTTACAGGATTTCTTCTCTGGATTTGACTTACGCAGCTGTGGGCTCTAATTAAGCAGACAATGGAAAGTTGCTGTGTCTCTCTCTGATGCTGGGACCTGAGGCCAGCAGGGTAGGCAGTTGGGAAGGGAAAATGGACACGAAGCTGGGGAAGCAAAGACAAATTAGAACCCATGGGGATAAGCTGGAATCCATCAAGATGGACTGAAACCCACATTGGTCTCTTGCTGCCTTTCAAGGAACTTCCATGATGGAGGCGACTTCCAGGAGAAGCCGACTGCCCTTCTCCATGGAACTCAGCCTGCATCTGCCCAGGAGTCAGAGGAGGTGAGGGAGGAGATCTGGGAAGGGCTGGACAGGCCCATCTGCTTCCTGCCCCCTCAGCCTGCTGGTGAGCCAGCAGATAACCCACAAAAGCCTCAACAGCCCCTGGCCCCCCATCAACTTTCAAAGGCACCAATGCAAAAGACTATAGCTACTGCTTCAGTTCCTTCTTCCAAATGTCATATGAAATGCCTCTTAGGGGTCTATACTAACCCAGAACTGTGCAGGAGAGAGAAATCTGGGAAACACAGTTCCAGCTTAGCTAGGTTGACTTGCTATAAGTCAACCACACCTAGTCTCACTAAGCCCATTTGTCATGTGTGGCCCACTCAGACTGAAAGAATCTTTGTTGGTTCACTGTTTTATAAGGGCCAGCCTTTACCAGTTTGTCCAGCTAGGGCACTAAGTTCTTAGATGCAGACATCAGTTCTGTATTCCCTGTTAAGGATCTGCTTCCTTAATAGGAATCTTTAAACTCCTGAATTTGTAATGACACATTCAAAAGCATTATTTGAGACTAAGCAGTAATAGTGTATGGCAAGCTGGACTTACAGTCCTGTGTGATGTAGAGATACCTAAACATAAATGGGCATGGATATTGTACACACATATGTGATGCAAATAATATACAAATATTGACATAGGATGATCTAGAGTTGATACCAGACAGTCCTCATCAGTGCACTGATGAAACCCCAGAAGAAAAGAGGTTTAGCCAGCAAGTTAACCCATGCTGATGAGCATCTACCATGTGGCAGGTAGCTTCTAGAGGTGCAGGGGATACAACAGTTAATGGTACAGTGTCAGCCGTGAGGCTCTTACATTGTTTTCCAGGTTTTCTCAACCATGACATCATTGGCATTTTCTGTTGGGTAATTCTCTGTTGTATGCATCTGTCCTGGGCATTTTAGGATGTTTAACAGTGTTCCTGGCCTTTGCCTACTAGATGCTGGTATTCCTCCCTCTCTTCATCCCCATCCCCGCTGCAGTTGAGATCATAAAAAATGTCATTAATCATTGCCAAGTGTCACATGGGGCAAAATCATCCTCAGTTGAGAACCTGTGTTTCAGAAGAGACAGAAAAATACCACTGAGATACTTTCAGATGCTAATAGGTGCTCTTAAGAATATAAAGTAGGCTGGGTGCAGTGGCTCATGCCTGTAACCCTAGCACTTTGGGAGGCCGAGGCAGGCAGATCACTTGAGGTTAGGAGTTCGAAACCAGCCTGGCCATCATGGTGAAACCCTGTCTCTACTAAAAATACAAAAATTAACCAGGCTTCATGGTGGGCACCTGTCATCCCAGCTACTTGGGAGGCTGAGGCAGGAGAATCACTTGAACCTGGGAGGCGGAGGTTGCAGTGAGCTGAGATCATGCCACTACACTCCAGCCTGGGTGATAAAGCGAGACTCCATCTCAAAAAAAAAAAAAAAAAAAAAAAAGAGAGTTTAAAGTAGAGTGATATGGTTACATGACTACCAAGGTGGTTGAGGAAGCCCTTGCCGAGGAAGGGCCTTTGATTTGACATGCAGGCAGCCCCTCAGAGATCTGGGGACAAAATGCATCAAGCAAAATGAAGAGCCAGTGCCCAGGTCCTGGAGGGGAACAAATGTGGCATGTTGAAATAGCAAAAAGGCTGGGAGACTTGCAGCATGGGTGATATGGTTTGGGTGTTTGTCCCCTCCAAATCTCATATTGAAATGTGATTCCCAACGTTGGAGGTGGGGGCTGGTGGGAGGTGTTTGGATCATGAGAGGAGATCCCTCATGAATGTCTTGGTGTCCTCCCTGAGGTCATGAGTTCACACAGCATCTGGTTGTTTAAAAGACCTGGGATCTCCCGTTCTCTCTCTTGCTCCAGCTCTCCCCATGTGATGCATTGGCTCCCCCCCACCCTTCACCTTTCACCATGATTGTAGCTTCCTGAGGCCTCAACAGAAGCAGATATTGGCACCGTGCTTTGTGTACAGCCTGCAGAACTGTGAGCCAATTAAACCTCTTTTCTTTATAGATGACCCGGTCTCAGGAATTCCTTTATAACAATGCAAAAGGACTAACACAGCAGGTGAGGAAGGGAAGAGAGGAGGGCATGGGGTAGGGAAGGACAGCCACAACATGGGGGACCTTGTGCATGGGTCATGGTGCACGATCTACATTTAACTCTGGCTACTCAGGGCAGTCATGGGAGAGATGTGATCGGGGAGTGATGCAATCTGATTTATGCCTTAAAAGGACCACGCTGGCTACTATGTGGTGGATGCACAAACAGCTCTTCCCCTTCTGCCTCCTTTGCCTTGTGACCCACAAGGACCCATGATACCCACCTGCAGCTGGCTGTTGCCATCTATTCGGAGTTGTCAACTAATAACAGACAATCTCCTCTGCCCTGTGACCCACAGGGACCCATGATACTCACCTGCAGCTAGCTCTTTCCATCTATCCAAAGTTATCAACTAATAGTAGTCTCTGTGCCTACAAATGATTAAAATTGGGCTTGAAAATATGGCACCATTATCATCAGCATTTCTTGAGCGCTGGCCACTTGTTTCTGGTGCTCGTGTGTGTACATGAACATCCTTGCTGTGAGTGCTGGGCCCCACCCTCACTGCCATTTAAAAAAAAAAACAACAAAAAACAGGTGTCTGCAGCCTCTGGTGAACATCAGCTTCTCCGTAAGGCTATAATGGGAGACACCTTCATAGATTTTGAGTTCGGCTAAAATACCCTCCTGTCCAGTTACTACCTATAATGCTCTTTTCCCTTGGATCAGAAAGCCTTTTCTCTGTGGATTATTTCCCTCCATCTATACCCCACATTACTACCCCATGCCTTCATAAGGTTTTACTCTTTACTGGCGTTATGTCCATTTATATTTGAATTACACAAGCATGACCATTCATGCTCTTTACTCATAGAAGGGCACCCTGCCCTTCCTGGAAAAATGATTTACTTTCATATTGGATACCATTTGAATATACCCAGCTGTCTGCGTGGAAATAGAGAAGTAGACAGAAAGAAGCCTCCTGCTACAGCCTAGGAGCAGAACAGTAAACCCAGGTTTCCAAAATATCTTTCTGAGGTCATTACAGGGTCATAGCCCTGGACAGCACTATTCCTAAGTCATCCTGAGGCATTCTTTGTGTGACAGGCCCAATGGCATGGCAATGGATTTCATAATGAAAATAATGAAACATTGAGATAAAAAGTTAATTTCTTCCTGGAAGAGTCTATTTAATAATGCAGGAAAATGTTACACTTTTTAGTTATACTTAATTATAAAATGCTAGAAAAATAGGAGTGGTTTTGGTGTTGAAAGAGTTATTTATCTGAGAGAACTATGAATTATCCAGAATGCTTCTCTAAAGTTTCCTTTTTCCCAAAATTTTATTATTTGGCATAATTTCAGTGGAATCTTCCAAAAGACATTAGTCCATTCTTTTGCTTCAGTGCATGTTTTTTTGGATAGATATTATCTATTTTTGTGTAGTGTTGTAAGGTTTCCAGGATACGTAAAAGTTGGAGGATATATGGTTGGTGCAAAATAATTCCGTAGAGTAATGAGATTGAATTGGGGGAGGTGGTTTAAGGAATACAAATTCAGTTTGCCTAAATAGATGTAAAAAGGAAGGGAAGGAATAACATCTGAAGCTAAGGAAGGAAACTTTTGGGCTGGAGCATGACTAGATAGGAGTCGGGTAGAGCTTTTTAACACAGTTGAAGATAGCTGTGGACGTAGATCATGGGCAAAACTGGTAATGTGAGGATTTAGGAAGCACGTTTTTAAGCTACTGTTGAGTTTCATAGGAAACCATACCCCACTGGTCATAAGAGACATTCACCAATAGTTTTCCATGGGCCTTTTGTGCTAGTGGTAGTTTTGTTGGGGGCAGGATTTACAAAAATGACCATGCATTTGAAAGGTCAATGATGAAGGTAAGTTTGAGAATGAATTTTCCATGAATGTCCTGCAAGTTTTATTCTTTCTGTGAACAGCTTGAATTTTCATTTGGTTTGAAGATTAGGAAAATAACAGTCATATATACTCACAGATCAAATTCAAGTACTGATTTTAGCCATCTATGAGCAAAGGCCATTCTTGGTGTTAGACATGAAACAAACGAGAGAGAAAGAAGGAAAGAGAGAGAGAAAGATGTGATGGACTGCCTTGGTTCTCATAATTTAGAAGTGAGACTATAGGTATATGCACAAGGAGCTCTGATGTGAAACATGGATATCATATATGTCCTAATGGAAATGCACAAATATCCTAATGGGCTTAGGAAGATTTCTAGAAGGATAGGGATTCCAATCTGGTTTAAAAGAAAAGCCTGAAACCTTGGCAAATGAAGTCAGCAAGGATATTCCGGTAGCAGAATGAGCCTGGGCAAAGGTGAGGAGTGGAGTGTTGCCTATTTTGTTTTGTGAGGATGATAGATTCCTGTAACTGGAGCTGCGGAGGAAGTAGATGTATT
Organism: Homo sapiens; assembly: GCF_000001405.40. Lineage (NCBI taxonomy): Eukaryota > Metazoa > Chordata > Mammalia > Primates > Hominidae > Homo > Homo sapiens. The sequence continues at coordinate 72,120,017 of NC_000014.9, forward strand.
GGAGATTGTCCTTGAAAGTATCCAGACTGACTCAGACAGCAATTGTGAAGTTCTTGCTGATAGATTTGTACTGTATTTTCCATGCAATGCAAGATCCATTAGAGGGATTTGAGTAGGAGATTGTCATGGAATATTTAGAGGATATAATTCAGATTTAAACCATGGAATATTTTCCTTGATACTATTAAGGAATGATAGATTCTTTGAGCTAAAAGGAGCACTAGAGATTATCTATTGAGGTAGTTTCCAAATATTGTTTTAGCACAGTGGAAACCTTCTTTCAAATGACATCTTACACAAATGCCCCAGCTACAAAACAGATAGAAGAGCAGTTCTTGTGGAATCATGATGGGAAGAGTCTTGATTTGCTGCTTTCTGTTTCTTCATTCCTGTAGCAATCCCTGAGGTACCTCTGTAGAAAGCACAAAATCATGGAACAACCTGCCGTTTTAAAGATGAGTAACTCAAAAGAAATGAAAACATATTATGAAACCACACATACCATAACATCACCAGCAGCCTTATTCATAATAACTGAAAAGCAGGATACCACCCAAATGTTTAACAGGAGAACGGATAAACTGCGTTGTGTTCATACAGTGGAATAGTTCTCAGATGTGCAAAGAACAACTTACTGATTCATGCAATGGCATACATGAATCTCAGAAATATTAAGTAAAAGAAGCATGACCCTTGGATTTCATTTATATGATACACAAGAACATGTAAAACGAATCTAGGGGGAAAGAAATTAGGAAGTGATGGCCTGGGTGGCAGGGAGGAGAACTGATTCAAAAGGAGCACAAGAGAACTTTCTGGGATGTTGGAAATCTTCTCTATCTTATTTTGCGGGATGGTTACATTTGTGTATTCCGTTGTCAAAACTCATCACGTGGAACACCTAAGGTGTGTATTTTATTGTATGTTAATTGTATCTTAATGAATAAAAGTTGAGTTTGAAGATTCTTGGAGGGAGATTTGCTCAGTTCCCATAGCTAGGCATGAGAAAGACTAGCAGCTAGAACTTAGGTTTACAGGATTCCTGGTCCAGCTCTTTTAACCGCATCTCTCTCCCTCAGAGTCATCCTCCTCTTCACCAACACAGCATCAAGGCTGGCTTCTCCCTCCCTGGACATCCTCTTCCCTGCTCAAACCCCACCGTGGCTGTGAAGTATTAACTTGACGACACTGTGCTCTTTGACTCAGCTTTTAAACTTTCCTCCAGTGAAACCAGAACTGGCAAACACAGCTACACTTTTCTTGTACCATGCTTTACCTGTATTGCCAACCTGCTGATAAATGGCTCCATTCCATAGCCTTGAGGGTCTTGAATAGCTTAAACATTTTATAGTTCCATGGGAATGAGACAGGGGAGAAGACACCAGTGGCTTCCATTGTAGGCCTGTCTACACTGAAGGAATGCCAACTGCCCACACACACTTGTTGTTAGATGGCCTGGAGGCTCATCTGCACAGACGTGCAGTTTAACTCCATTAGGGATCACAGAGTGATCACACACTGTGCTGTGCTCTTTGGTATATATATGAAAAGCATCGCTAAGAGAATGGGAGAGGTGGTGAGAGTTTATTGCTGCCTTCTTTCTCATGGAAGCATTGGACAGCAGGGCAGCCCTAGTGAATTGTTGACTGCTCCATAAGAATATCTTGCTCATTTAACCTCTTCTGTACTAGGTCTTCTGCCTGGAGAGTCCTGGGCTACACTGCCCATCCCCAGTATCCCATGTATTCATGTCAGATTCTTGCAGTCTCCTGAGGATCTTTCAAGGACTGGAACTGCATCTTCACCATCTTTGTGTTCCCAGTGTCTGCAACGGTGCCTTATTCTAGAAAAGAACATCTTAACTGGGAGCTGTTTTGCCAGGACCATCATCAAAAATGTCTGAAGATGTTTTTGGTTGTCAAAACTGGGGACAGGGTGCTACTGGCATCTGGTGGATAGGGGCCAGGGATATTGCTTATCTTCCTACAGTGTACAAGACAGTTCCCCATAACAAAAAATTACCCCACCCAAAATGTCAGTAGTGCCAAGATCGAGAAGCCCTTCTCTAGATTATACTTTATTGTATAGAAGATAATAGATCAACCACATCCTCAAGGCTGGGACCAATGCTTTGCATTATGATGGGTGTCTTGGTTTCTTTTATTTCCACTCTTGATTCTCTAAGCATCATATTCAAGCTCTGAGATGAGGTGTATCTGACTGGGTCAGGTAGCCACTGAGCAAACTGGAATAGGCCTTTCTGCAGAGTTTGAACCCAAGTCAATGTTGCCTCGACTCAAGCTCAGATACCTCATCTAATCATCAGTAGCCATAGTAATAGTAGCCCTTAGCACAGACCACTGATATCTACTGCTTAGAAGGGGTTTGTGGGGGTAGAAAATGAGGTTATATTAAGTTTACTTGCCCAAAGTCACACAGCCAGTATGTTTTGGAGCCAGATTCAAACCCAGGTTGTCTGAAGGCTCCAAAAGTCATCATTTATCACTGTATATTTTCTTCTTAGCTTTCTTGCATTTCCTTTAATGTTCCCATCTCTCCCTAGTGAAACTGATTTCCCTCACCAGGAGGTTCTCTAGGAATTTTGGTCCAGGGCTTAGATTCTTAAATAAGAGCAGGGACATCACCATGTTTGTTATACGCTGTCATTTCACCTCCTCTGTTCTGAATCAGAATGAGGCCAGCACTCTGGGTTCTAAGTTATCGTTTTTTTTTTTTTTTTCCATTCTATATACTCCCTAAGAATCTTTTTTATGCTTAAGGTACAAGTTTAAATATGGAAAAAAAAATCTAGATTGAAATGAAAAGCCAGACATTTCCTAGTTATATCACTAATTAACTGTGTTACTAGTGATAAGCTGCTTATAAATCTTTCATCATTAAGATAAGATTACCTTCTAGATCTTAACATTTATGATCACAGGGATAAGTTTTTTGTTTTGTTTTGTTTGAGACAGAGTCTCACTCTACCACCCAGGCTGGAGTGCAGTGTCACAATCTCAGCTCACTTCAACCTCTGCCTCCTGGGTTTGAGCGATTCTCATGCCTCAGCCTCCCAGGTAGCTGGGATTATAGGTATGCACCACCACACCTGGCTAATTTTGTATTTTTTAGTAGAGACACGGTTTTGCCATGCTGGCCAGGCTGGTCTCGAATTCCTCCTGCATCACCTCCCAAAGTGCTGGGATTACAGGTGTGAGTCACAGTGTCCAGCCAGGATAGTTCCTTTTTATTGTAACATATCCATTTTTTCTTCATTTATACCTCCAGTATCCAACAAGTTAGGATGCAGGAATTAAGAAAGAATCGTCCTAAAGTAGGAAAGGCAAGATTTGATGAAGTTGGTAGAAATCAAGAAGCACAGTTTTGTAAGCTTTGCTTGGGTGTGGATTGGGAAGCTATTTCTTATTTCTCCAAGAGTGTTTAGCTTCTCAGACAATTTCTGCCTCAGTTTCCCCATATTTTAATGGGGGGACCAAACACAGCATGGTCATGCATGACATGTGACCGTAATGAAAGTGTGACTAGCACATTGGAAACCTGGTGTGGCAGAAATCACACTTAGAATCAGGTCAATTAGGAGTCACCTTAGTTTTCTTATTGAAAATTATGTGTAATGCTGAAAAATTAATAAGAGAGTTCCTTAAAATAACAGACTGAATTTCGAAGTTTAGGTGATAATTATTTTCCGAAGTCTGACCTGCCCAAGACCTTATATAAGCACGTTATGGAAAGCAAGAGTGGTATATCTTTACTAATAAATAAGTATTTCTCCAAACTTTGAAAAACATTCTGAAGCTTCAGGTTAAAAATATGTAAATGGAAATGCCCTCCACTTGACTGTATCACAGCTGTTCCCTGTCCCTCATTTGCTGAAGGACTGAGTACACCCCAAACTGGTCAGAGCATGATGACTTTCAGTAATGACCTAAATGACCTTAAAATATCAGTAAGTGACAGAGTATTCGAAGTCACAGTCTATAACATTCGCTTAGAATTTCCCCTTAAGCTGCTGGCTGAAGCACTAATTAAGATCTGAAATGGAAGGTAGGTGACAGATGCTTTGTGTCCTGCAGCAGAGGCACAGAATGCTGTTCTTTCACTTACTGTTTAATAATAATAATAACAGCCATTTAATCTGTTTGCTGATACAGTCTCCTTTGCTTTATTATGTTGTTTATTTTGTGTGAGCTTTCGATATTAGTTATAAAAATGTCACTGTGTCTGCAGCTGCATTTTTCATTTTAGAAACTCCCAGAGATCTCATCAATTTAACCTGCCTTGTACAGTTCGCAGGAAACCACTACAGGCAAAGATAGGCTTAATCAAGGTTTTTTCTTAATAACGAACACAATACACAGGAAAGCAGGGCAACGAATGAGCCTTTGATTCTAGGTAAAGACTTATTATGTGAAAATCTATATTTAAATTAGGGGCTTTTTGCTAGGATTCTTAACTGCACAAGACAAATTACTGTAGGATGTCTCTAAACAGCAAGTGTGTCTTAGGCATTTGAAATATAATTTAATCTATTAACAGTTTACCCTAGATTTTAAGCCATTCATTGTTGGCGAACACAATCTAGATTCTTTAAAATAAAAATAGAAAAGCATTTGCAGTAACTGGCCATTATTATAGCTATAGAAATCAAAGGTATTTCTTGTATAAATTTTGAATTATATATTGTTTATCTCTCCTTAATAACTTTCACTATAGAAAGAGCTCTCTTTCTTGCTCAATTTACATAAAAGTATCTGGAACAGTTCAGTGACAACAGTGTTGGAAATTAAGGACTGACTTGAGACTGAAGCTCCCTCCATAACTCCCATGCCCTTCTCCAGTACTAAGTAGTATAAAGGCCAAAAGTCAGATAAACAACATAAGAGAAGGTGGCAGTGCTAGAGATGGGGATGAGGCTGTTTCATATAATGGAAGGACACCAGTTGACATTTTCCAAAGATTTTCCATTATAATCTTTTGCAAAGGTTCTCTTTCACTAGTTAACAAATATAAAAGATGCCAACTCCCACCAGACTCCAGATGCTTGTAATAGAATTAGAAGGCCCTCCAACCTTTCTTTCCAGGGGTCCTGAGGGGGACGTCTTTGTTGGCACCCCAAGCCTGAGTCACTCCTAGCACCTCAGGAAAGCATGTGTTGTGTGGCTTCAAGGATAGGCATCCTAGGAGATTTTACCACCTATCCAGGTGCCCTGGCTGGGTGAAAACTGTGCATCTTATGCTTCCTCAATAGTGCTGTGAGAATGCTCCACTGCCAGTTTGAGGTATCAGGTTTGGGTTTTCAGGATTGCAAGACTGCTGTGCTGTGCGTGTACTGGTGAGTTGGCTCCCTGCCTTTCCCAGCACCCCCATGCCTCCTTCTTCACATCCCCTTTCAAGTAGAATAGGGAACTGATAACCCAACCAGGCCCCTTATTCCCATCAGATAGCAAGCTAATCACTGAGACAACAAGCTTTGCAGTAGAGAAAAGATTTTATTCACCAGGCAGCCAAGCAAGGAGACAGGAGAATAGATCTCAAATCTGCCTCCTCAAAGATGAGGTTTAGGAATATTTATGGAATAAAGAAGCAGTGTGGTCTATTGTGGGGGGAAAGGTGATTGGAGGTGGGGGAAAGGTGATTGGAGGTAAGAAAAAGGGAGGTAATTGGTGATCTGCACAGACATAGTCAAAATTCATGGCTCTTCATAGGATGTATGTTCATGAAATGGCATTGTTAGCATGATCTGAGGGTGGAGTTTTTGTCCTCTGATGTCAAAAGTCAACCAACAGACATTCATACAGGCCTAGTTGATGGGTTGGTGGTCTCAGCCAGTTTGAACTGGGTAAGAACTGACCTCAAGTTCCTATAAAACAATGTAAGCAACTGTTACCATGATGACCTATACATTAGAGATGTTACCTATGAGGAAGCTAGTGAGAGTTTAGATACTTTTAGGTATATAGGTTTTAAGATCAACTAGAAGTAAGCAACTAAAAGCAAGTGAGGCAGGTTAAGTTTGTCAGGCCTAATCAGGTTAGCCCTCGCTTTCAGAGTCATCTGCCCAAGTACAGTAAACAGATCCAGCTACTACTTAGATACTTTGAGAAGTTTAGGGTTGGGCTCTTTCTTCTTAGCTTTCCCCTTCATAGAGGAAAGTCCACATTTACTTCACATGCTAACTTGTTTGCTGTTAGTAGAAATCTGCGGGAAGTTTGCCAGAGAAGGGTAGCCTTTGGGGATTGGCCAACCAGCTAGCAGGGACCTCTGCTGTGAGTGGCCCATGCTGTCTGGGCAGCTCTGTTAGGTAAAGGAGAAAGCCATTTGGCTTGTGTAGACTGCAGCTCTGCAGGAACCTCTCCCCACCATCTCTAGCCACCACCTCCAGAGTACAGTAAATTGTAGACTTAGATTTGCTGTTTCCAGCATAGATGTCTTACACTTTCTAGAGGGTTCCCTCTGCTCACATAGAGCCGTTGGTTAAGTGGTGGTGCTCATTTTCCATGCCCTGCTGGCTAGTCCTTGGACATTGTGAGCATTTTTGTCTCCAATGCCACTGAATTCCTTAAGGCCTTTTGGGTGGGTGCTAAATATTTAGGCAACTCTTACTAAGAAAATAGAAAACACTTGAGTTCTCTGTTTTGCATGTGGCTATCTTTACATCAGAGCCTTGGAAGTGGTCAACTGTATGTAGCCAATTTCATGAGGCTGTTTTAACTGGGAGGACATTGTCACCTGGCTGGGCTTATACAGCTGAGTCAATAAGGAAAACGCAGCTTTTGTTGGCTTGCTTACCTTTTAAATCAGTAAGTAATGCACAAAATGGGTCCCTCACCACCACTACTTCCTTTAAACCTCATCCCCAACTCCACATCCCATCATCATCTCTCATCTCATCTCGCAGCTTTAGCTGATCCCATGGTGGGGAACTGGGGAGGCATGAGGTTGGGGGTATATGTGTGTATCATATATTACTTGGGAGAAAAAAAATTGTTTTAGGTTTTATTACAAAGCACCCAAGTTAAAAGAGCAGTGTTAAAATTGTCTTATCAAAATATCCCGTACCATTGCATTTTCCTGTTTAAAGAGACTGCCATAAACTCTAGGGGCTACCCAAGTGAGGAGACGAGATTATGATTAACAATCAAAGTGATGGGGAAAGTTATAAAAATAGGAAAAAAATATTTAGATATAAAGTCACTGACCTATGAAACCACCTTGCAAATGGTAGGCAAAAGAAGTAGTATTACTGAAAAAGTATGAATTGTTACCTTTACTCTGAAATTAGTATGTAAAGGAGCACTTTGTTTACTGCACTAAATCTTTGTCTCCAGTTTTTAAATTATGAGATTTATATTGCCTAAGTATAGACTGAATACATTTTAATATTTAATTGTTTTTTCTCAAACTATGGTTTGAAAAACAAGATAATTCTTAAGCTGGGTTTCATTACTTTGAAAACTAACAGTGTTTTCTAAGAGAACACGTTACTGATTTAAAAATGTAAAGTAATAAAAATAGTATTCACATAAAGTTTCAGTAGAGTTTTAGCACAGAACACAATTAACCAGGGCTTAAAAAAAACCATTTAATTTTGAGGCAATTGTAGTTATTTCTTGCAGTTGCAAGAAATAACACAGAGTTCTAGCGTTAGCATTTACCCTGTTCCCTCAATGGTACTATCTTGTAAAGCTATAGTACAATATCCCAACCAGAATATTGACATTTTATAGTTAAGATACAGGACAGTTCCATTAACACAAAGATCCTCTGTTACCCCTTTATAACTACAACCCCTCATTCCCATCCCTGACCCCTGGCAACTCCTAATTTGTTCTCTGTTTCTATAACTTATCACTTAAAGAATGCCACATAAATGGGATCATATAATATGTAACCTTTGAGATTTTTTTTTCCCTCAGCATAATTGCCCAAGATTCATCCAAGTTGTTGCACGTATCAAGGGCTTGTTCCTTTTTATTACTGAGTAGCGTTCTGTGGTATGGATAGACCACAGTTTAAACATTTGAATGACATCTGTGCTGTTTCCAAATTTTTGCTTATTATAAAAAAGCAAGCAGGACTTTTAAAAAACACACTTATAGAAATGCTTATGGCTGTGTCTTATTACAGAATATTTATAAGGAGAGTAAGATTAAAGAGTTAGAGTCACTTAGGATTAAAACAAATGTTATAAACTATGACAGTCCAGCTCAAAGTAGCTTGATTTCATAAATATATTCTCTTTATGGTATTTCATAAATGCCATAAATCAAAGTAGCTTGATTTCATAAATGTATTCTCTTTTGATTAAATAATCAAACTTAAGTAAATTATTGGCCAGTGTCCACAATAGAATTTGTAAATAGTTACATTGTGTTCATGTTTGCATTTCTGTTCTCAACCTGAATGACTGCTCAATATAGTACACTATATTCACTTTTATTAAGCACTGCTCTCACATCTCATTGTGTTTGTTGAACCTGGAAATGTGATAGCATTTGATTGTGTTGATTTTTTTTTTTTAGCTGCCAAGACGAATTGTTAGATGTTTTTAAAACATTATATACCCTTATGCCCTTGGTGTCTCTGATGAAGCAGATTCATTAAATAAACACTCACTTATGAATAGCAGAGCCAGCACAGTCATAGTGGATGAAGTTTATAGGTTATTGACGGACGGTAGGAAATCAGTTGAAAGATGCCCGGAAACATGTGGTTATGTTGGTAGGAAGTAGAAAACGCCTGCCTGGAGTCCTTCAGATCCCACAACGTATGCGTGTGCATCTTCTCAGGCTCCGTATTAGCCCTGGTACGCACAGAGACACACAGCGACCAGCCTATTAGTTGCCTGGCAGATGCCGTCAGTACTGGTCATTTTGTGAATGCTTTTAATATGATTCACAGAATGTCTGTAGTCAGTCACGTTTTAGCACTGACAGTAAAATGTCACCTCTTCAGCAGTTTTCTTTTAAAAAAGGTGTAAAGCCTCTTAAAAATTTTTGCTTTAAACTCCTATCGATCGTTTAGAAATCTTATTAGCTTGCTTTGGGCTTTCTTTTAGAGTTGGAGAAATTAAAATTTAGAGACCAGGTTGGGCTGAGAAAACTGCGTGGAGAAGGGGAACTTGAGTTGAATCTTACTTACACCAGACAGTAGGGACACTAAAGAAGGCAATACTGCTGGAAGATAAAAGTTGACAGCTTTATGAAAGAAGGAAACAAGTGAATGAGATAATTCGGCTGAGAGCTCCCGGAAAGCAAGAATTCTTTTTCATCTGTGCCCTCAGTCCCTAGTTGGAGTACAGCCCAAAGTAAGGTTCAATAAATATTTGTTTAATGAATAAACAAATGGATGAACAAACTGAAATAAGTGTTGATATTTGTTATGAAATATGCCTTTCTCAGACTGTTCCACACACCTCACCCTGGCTGTGCCAAGTTTCTATGGCTGCACAACAAACTACTCCAACACTTAGTGGCTTATAACAGCAGATGGAGGTTCACAGGCTTCCACTGGACAGTTCTCCTTGACATCTGTTCTGCAGTCAGAAGGCAACTGGAACTGAGGTTTCCGGTGGCTCCGCTTGACTACAGGGATGTTGGGCTGTCTCCTTCTCAGGGCCTCTGCTCTTTGTGTGGCTTTTCCAGCAGAGCCGCTGAACTTCTAACATAGTGTGGCTCAGGGCTTCCAAAAAGCACAAAGGGAGAAGCTTCCAGGCCTCCCAAAGGCTAAGACCTGGAACTGTCACTGTGTTGCTCCCTCTTTTAGTTAAGCAGACAAGGGGGCCAGACCAGATTCAAAGGGAGGGAAAAGAAACCCCACCTCATGATGAGGCACCACTGTTTTCCCATCGATAACTGGTATCAACCCAGCATCCTACAGCTCAATTCAGTTCTGACACTCACCATCCCGACTTAGTACAGACCCTACAGGTTAAGGGCTCAGTCCCCTTAGACTGCCCCCACTTCAGATGCCAGCTGAAAGTGGAATATGCCCAAGTTACCCACACTTCTTCCTGGCTGACTACAAATGTGGGGGTTGGGAGAACCCCCAGGTTTGGCAATTCACTAGAATGACTCACAGAACTAAGGAAAGTGCTATACTTACAATTACAGTTTATTATAAATGATACAATTGAACAACCAGCTGAGAATTTATGTAGGGTGAGGGCCAGAAGGGTCTTGAGTGCAGGAACTTCTGTCCCCATGAATGGGACATATCACTGTCCTGGTACATCATATTTTCACCAACCAGAAAGTTCCTGAACCCCATTGTTCAAGAGTGAACAATGCAGGCTTCATTGCACAGGCATGATTGAGGAAATAATTGGCCATTGATGGTTAACTCAATCTCCAGTCCCTGTCATTTCCCCAGAGGTCAGGGACAAGGTTGAAAGTTCCTCTAATTATGTATCCATGTGGCTGGCACCTTCCTGGAAACTATCTAAGGGCACACCTTGAGTCACCTTGATAGCATAAAGATACAGCTCAAAGGGGTTCATTATGAACAACAAAAGATGTTCCTGTCACTCAGGAATTTCAAATGGTTTTTGAAGCTCTGTGCCTCGGGAACTAGGGACAAAGACAAAATAGATTTTGCTGTTCTATCACAGGGTTGATGACAAAGAATGTGTGGCCATCTTTAATCTGTGACACTGGTCCTCTGCAGACTCAAGCAAAATAGATGAAATTTTACAAAGGACTGTTTTCCTATCATTTGCTTAGAAAATTACCCTACATGTTTATCCCACTTTCCCCTAGAGCAGGTTTCTGGAAAGCTAATGCTATGTCTTACGTATACATAAACGGATGAATGAGACAAAGTTTGTTGCATTGGTATGTGTGTTGGGGGGATAGGAGGGTGATGGGAGAGCCTCCTGGAATAGTCTTAGAGTTGGACACTGTTTCCCCTTGTGACTCCTTTTGCAGCTACTGCCTTGATCCCCTCTTGTGCCTGCTAGGCTCTGCCTTGGGGAAAGCTCAACTCTTCTGTTTCCCTACACTTGACCGACTGTCTCCATCGTTGCCTTGCCCATCTTGTGTTGTGTCCACCCAAACCTGACTCAGATCTACTAGTTTTCATCTTTCGCTCACGGACTATTCTCTTGAGCCAGATTCCTAGTCCCCTAACTCAATCATCTTATTCTGGCTTCTCCAGTGTTCTTTCAACCCAATCTTGCTAAAAAGCTATTTTAATGCCCGACTGTGGATTTTTGGCATCGTTATCTCAGCAGGCCTAGCTTGGAGGTTCCTCTGGGATTTCCTGCTGGAGTCTTCTTTTTAGGATTTCCCAGTCTACTTGGGATACTTAAGGAAAATTATCACCTTGTCTTAGGAAGAATCTTATTATCTCAAATCAAATATTTAAAATTGCAATGCTCCCTTATCTGGAATTTTATTTTGTAAGGGACATTTTCTGATAAGCTGCCAATGACAGCCTATGATATGAAATTCTGTATGTCCCTTTGGGTTCAACAGTAACCTTAATGGGATAGTTTTGTCTCCCTGTCTCACCTCAGGTAACAGAAATTGTCAAGTGCAAAGAAACTTTTGTATCCTTCCCACATCCAGAGCTAGCTTGGAGTTTGACCTTAGGCAACAACCAACTAACTGTGCCTTGAAGATAACTCTCTGGGGAGTTAATTAGGATAGACTGAATAATTCAAGGGGCAGTTTTGGTGAATTAAATTGGGAAAAGATTTTCGAGTGTTAAAGGTTGAAGCATTCCCTTCCTATTATTTCAGCTCTTACCTCTACTTTCTCAATATACATTAAAGAAAAGCAAATCTGTTCAATAGATTTGAGATAATCTATTAATTTAGAATGCTTACTAGAAGCCCACCATGGGGCTAGGCTCCACAAAGTTTGAATTGTGGTTATACTGTCGGTTGTTTTTTAAAAATGTACAGCAAAATCCTAGGCGATCTTCATGAACTACTCCAGAGGCCACCATCCTAGAAATCTAAACTCAGCTCTCCTTTAAGATTAGTCATTTTCTTATCCAAACACCACAGAGCTTTTTACATAGCTTTATTACAGTGCTTCAGATATTGTCTTGTAATTATTTGTTTCTCAACCTGTCTTACCTATTGGACCTGATTAATTTAGAGGTGGGAGGCTGCTGGCTTCATTTCCTTATCCAATCATTTAAATTAAGCATCTGACAGGTACCAGGCACTATATTTGGTTCTAGTGTTCCAAAGGAAGTAGACAATCCTCATTTTGTATGTATTCTTCTTCTTCTTCTTTTTTTTTTTTTTTTAGGTGGAGTCTCACTCTGTTGCCCAGGCTGGAGCGCAGTGACATGATCTCGGCTCACTGAAACCTCCACCTCCTGGGTTCAGGTGATTCTCCTTGAACTCGGCCTCCCACGTAGCTGGGACTACAGGCATACGCCACCATGCCCGGCTAGCTTTTCTATTTTTAGTAGAGACAGGGTTTCACCATGTTGGCCAGGCCAGTCTCAAACTCCTGACCTCAAGTGATCCACCCACCTTGGCCTCCCAAAGTGCTGGGATTACACACATGAGCCACCACGCCTGGCCCCATTTTATATACATGCTGTATGTTTGTTGCATGTGTCAATCATTTTGAAGTTGCATTTCCACTTCACACACTCTTTTTTTTTAAACGGATAATTAGGAAATTCAGCCATTTTGAAGTTACTTGACTCTGGTTATGGTTGTTTTCTAAGCTCTGTTAACACACCTGGTCAAAAGTTTGGAAGTCAGACATGTTTTGTTTGTCGTTTTTTTTTTTTTTTCTCTGTCAGACATGGCCTGCACCATAAGCTTCTGAAAAACTCTTTGAGGCCAGAGACTTGGCTTCATTGATCTTAGTATCTTTGGCAATGTTTTGTTCGTAGGGAAGATTCAGTAAAAGGACATTTGGCATCAGACTAAAGGAAATGTGTTCCATTAGATGTTTAAATCACGGTGGTTTATTTTCAAAGCCATAGTTTTGTAGTGTTTCTTTACAACGTGATTGAATTTAAATGCACTGGGATGACTTCCTCCAAGAAGAAGGAAACTGGGGGGCCGAGAAGATGTGGCAAAAGCAGAAACATGTCCATCTCTCATTGGGTAGGGACATCATTCATTTATTTGTTCCCGTATCATTTTGCAGATTCCTTTTCAACCTGTACACTGGCTGTCTTTCTCTCATCCCCAAGTTTCAAGATCTCTGGTGGTATTTCTTTTCCATATCCTTTACCTACCTTGCCTTGCTCCTCCACATTCCCAATTCCTTCAATTTTTTTTTCCTCTCTAATCTGCTGTTTTATGGATGTCAAGATATACTCTAGTTACTCAGCTCTTACCTTAGAATTGAGACTTCAGAGTTTCCCACTAAGTTCCCTTTGCGATACACAGGAAAGGGAACATTAAGAGGAGCACACTGAGACTTTAAGCAGGAAAATCGGTAAACGCTGACCATACTGAACAATTAAGTCTACTATTACTTACTGGTTTTCTTCTTCAGAGCATAAACCGGGCTTCCCTTTCCCCAGACTTGGCTACTGTCCCCTGGCTTGCAATAACCCCTGGCTCCTCAAAACTCTATGCCTTATACATATGCCTTTCCAAGTACTCTTGCCATTTGGAGGATGGGAAGATACTATGTCAGAGAATCCCAGGATCTGATTGGATGGATATAATTGTGACTGCCTCTTCCTCCACTGTCAGGTAAGTCTCTGAATGTGCCTGGCTGCTCTGCTTTCTCTGAGTGCCTTCTGCCATGAGCCAAGCTTTTCTGTCACCATAAGCAATCCACTCATCTCTTCAAGCAGGGACACGCATCTACGTGATTGGTGGCCAGATCAAATTTCTGCCTTCTAGAAGGCATCTTTCATATCCAGTCTTTCACCCTTACCAGTAATGTTATGGTCTAGACTTCATTGACATGGTTCCTCCATGGAAGATCATAATACTGTTTCCCAACCCAGACATAGCATCTTTCTCAACACAGAACTCTAGGCAACTGCTTTCATTGATTGGAGTTGTCATTCAAATTCAAAATGAAGCCTACTTGGCATCCCTAGCAGCTAGTCTTCTCTTGCCTAGATCATTCCTCTTCATTTATTTCTAGCCACTTGCCTCAACCCCCTCGAGTTTAACCATTGCCAGTTTTGATTGGAAAACCTATTTATTGAACATCTCTGGTGATTTTTCTGCTGTACCCAGTTACCTCTGAATGTGTTGCCCATCTCTGGAAGAAGAGGTATTCCTATATACACACCCCACATTCACTGAGGGCTTCTCTGTGGTTAGTTCATAACTCTCTTTCATATGTGGTAGCCAATGCTCCATTAATTAGGAATGATGTTGACCATTCTTTCTTCTAAAGTCTGCACATATTCCTTCTGGAGTTGTCTGTCATGATAGTGTCACACTTCAACAATGTTGAGGCTCCTGGTAAATTCTACAGAAACATTTCCATTTTCCTTTGTTTTATGTACAGAAATATAGTTATTAATTAGGTCCTTGGGCACAAAAATGGAGGCAGGCATGTGCCATTTAACATGTGTGTTAGGGTTCTCCAGAGAAACAGAGCTAATAGGAGAGAGAAAGAGAGATAGACAGATAAGAGGAGACTTATTATGGGAATTGGCTCATGTGATGATGAAAGCTGAGAAACTCCATAATCTGCAGTCTGCAAGCTGGAGAACCAGAAGAGCTGGTGGTTTAACTCAGTCTGAAGGCCTGAGAACCAGGGGAGTTGATGGTGTAACTAACTCCCAAGAACCAGGAGCTCCAATATCCCAGGGGAGGAGGAGGTGGATGTCCTTGCTCAAGAAGAGAGAGAGTGAATTCCCCCTTTCCCCATCTTTTTGTCATATTCACCTTTTCATTGTATTCAGGCAGGCCCTCAACAGATTGGGTGGTGTCCGCCCACATTGGTGAGGGCAGATGTACTTGACTCAGTCTACCAATTCAAATGCCAGTTTCTTCTGAATACACCCTGAAAGACTCATCCAGAAATAAAGTTTTAATAGACATTTGGGTATCCCTTAACCCAGTTCAACTGACACATAAAATTAACCATCACAATATGCTTCACATATGTTTTTAAAATAGCTTAATTTTTTGTCTATAAGTCTTGTACATGGGTAGTGGTTGAGTTAGTATCTTATCCCTTGAGTTTGCCAACCCCTTGGATAGGGTCAGTGTCTTGGGTTCTCTGAATGGCATTTAACACATGGTCACAAAAACCTTGGTCTGAAGAACTTTATAATGATAAAGTTCAAGGTACTTTGGTGTCTTGAGGAACTCCCTGGACTGTGAGGCAGAGACTCGCTTGGCTCTAGTCCTGGTGCTGGATCTAACTGGCTGCCATTGTGGGGCTCCCCTAAAGATAAAGGAACTCAGTTTCCTCATCTGTGAAATGTGAGGATGGAATTCATCACCATGTCCCCTCCCAGCTCTAAACTTCTCTGAGTCTTGTTTTTCCCTGCTCTGTATCCTCCACTTTCTGGCATGTTTTTTATATTTACTATTATAAATGTGTCCCTATTTTATAAGTTGTTACAGCACGAGAGAGAGGTAAGGAATAGTTAACAAAATTGTATTCTGAGTAGCCTAATATTCTTTTTTTTTTCCTGCTAAACTTCTTTTTCCTCACCTTCTCCTAACATTTTTGTGGGGGTGGGTGGACTGGTGGGTGACTGTAGTGATATTGATATTCAGAGAGGAGTGAAAAATGCAAAATTGCAAGGTTAACAACAGATGGTTATATGGTGCCATTTTAGGAGTGTTATTAAAAGAACAAATCTATTTTCCTGAATAGTAGGATGTCTTAAGTGTTTAGGCTTAAATCTACTGTTGAAATAGAAAAAGAGGAGGAAGAGGAGGAGGAGAGGAGGAGGGGAAGGAGGAGGAGGGGGAGGAAAAGTCAAGGAAACACTTAGAACATTTTTGCATGATCTCAATTTTCTTCTTGTTCCAAGGTTTTTAATTTGGACAGTGGTATGTGCTTCAGATTGAATGCAAGGAAATTTGTTGCACCATTTGCCTGACAGTTATCATTTTCCTTGACGAAAAGTTTTTCTGAATCTTGCTTTGCTGGAGCTACCTCTTCCCTTGCCCTGAATAACCTCACTTGCTTAAGTCATCGATGCAGTGGACTGACACCACCTTTCTCTTAAGGAATTACCCTGTTCTCTGGGTAGGTCTAATTTACACTCCCACTATCACCCAAAGAAGAGACACTCTCTATATTGATAACTAGAAAGAAGGAACTGAGACTGTTGTCCAAGGACATCTTATCTTTAGCATAGAGCGAATATGTGGTTTATGGTAGGTGTTCAACAAACTTAAAAAAAAAAACTTGTATTAGTCTGCTCTCATGCTGCTGAATAAAGACATATCGAAGACTGGGTAATTTAAAAGGAAAGAGGTTTAATGGATTCACAGTTCCACATGGCTGGGGAGGCCTCACAGTCATGACAGAAGGCAAAAGTCACGTCTTATATGGCAGCAGGCAAGAGAGAATGAGAGCCAAGTAAAAGGAGAAACCCCTTATAAAACCGTAAGATTTCACGAGACTTACTCATTTCCATGAGAACAGTATTGGGGAAATCACTCCCCATGACTCAGTTACCTCCCACTGGGTCCCTCCCACAAGACGTGGGAATTATGAGAGCTACAATTCAAGATGAGATTTGGGTAGGGACACAGCCAAACCATATCAAAACTTAATCAAAAATAATTGAAATGTCAGGAAATAGAGAAACTTATTGAGCTTTTTTAGGGAAGTGGTCTTTGAACCTGTTTTGCTCTGCCCACTGGAGTATGCTGTCCATCAAATTGTTAGTTCAGTGAATTATGGTACAAACACTCAGTTACATTAATATGACTATTTTCTTGTATGCTAATTTGAGAACCTACTCCCTGGAGATATGTTATCCCATGTAATTTCCAAGTGAAATGGAGAGAGGATGCCTTAGACTGTTACTTCTCATGTTTTTCATTCCAATCTTCCTCAGTGCCCCTCTCTATAATCCCAATCCTATACATTTTTAAACAAAGGAAAGCCACTCAGATCACAGTAGCTCATGGACATTGGTGAGAAACGTGAGGAAATGTAGAGGATCCCCAAATTCTCACACATAAACTAAGGTGCAGCCACTGGGTATCAAGCAAGGTTTCCTCACTGGTTTAATGACTCCAGTTTTCCACATTGACATTTGTGCTGGGAGCCTTACATATATGATTTTGTAAAACCCTTTCTGCAGCCCTTCATGGTAGGTAGCAGAATATTTAACCCTATTGTAAGAGACAGGAGAAACCAAACTGCTTTTTCTATTCTCACCCGCCATTCTACACAGTTCTCCAGCAGAATCCCACTGGATGTCCTATAGTTTGGCCCGGTTCTAACACTGTCTACCTGGAGATAGCCTCAGATCTCACAGGTAAAGGGCTCAGCCCCACAAGACTGCCCTTCACTTAAAATGCCAATCGCAAGTCCCAGATTGTGGTCTGTACTTCTGAGCAACTGGCCATAAATTGGGGGTTCCCCCAGGCCCTTTGTCATGTTTGATTAATTTGCTAGAGTGGCTCACAGAACTCAGGGAAATGCTTTACTTGCTACTGCCCATTTATCACAAAGGATTTTTTAAAGATACAAGTGGACAGCCAGATGAAGAGATAGATGCATAGAACATGGTTTGGAAGCATCCTGAGTGCAGGAGCTTCTGTCCCCATGGAATTGGGGAACACTACCCTTTGGGCACATGGATGACATGCATGTGTTTTTGTTCACAAACTGAGAAGCTCTCTGAACCCAGTCCTTTTGGGTTTTTATGGAGGCTTCATCACATAGGCACAATTGTTTAAATCATTTACATAAATATGATTGATCAACTCTTCCCTCTCAGATGTTGAAGGTGGGACTGAGAGTCCCAGCCCTCTAATCATATGGTTGGTTCCCCTGGCAACCAACCCCCATCCTGAGGCTATCCAGGAGCCCCCAGCCACAAGTCACCCTAATACTATACAAAAGGACGCTTATTTTGGAGATTCCAAGGGTTTTAGGAGTTGTGTGCCAGGGATGAAGACCAAATATATCTTATTATAAATCACAATATCACACCTATTATAAAGCACTACATATAAAGTTTACACTCCAAGAATAAAAGATACAAATATGGAATCTTCAAATGCCAAGGGCCTACTGGATACTGTGAATGACAATATAAGCTACATCACCTGTTATTGAAAACCAGAATGCAAGTGTAAACTTGACCAGGGAACCTGCGGAGATGGAGAAGTTTGACACCTCTCCAGCAGCATCATAGAAATGAACATCATGAGCGCATTGAGGGGGAGGGTTAATGTCTTCATCGTTCTTCCTCTGGTAGAATTATATTTGCATCCTTCCTGGTGGAAACTTGATACTTCACTGTAGTGCACCTGTACCTGTTTTTTTTTTTTTTTTTTTTTTTTTACTTTCTTGGAGGGAGAGTTCTTCTATCTCAGAAGATAGAAGAAATAGCTGGAAACTCTATATTCCTGTGCCCTAGCACAGGAGACCAGGGGTCTCCAACTGGTCTGTGGCCTTTTAGGAACTGGACCACACAGCAGGAGGTGAGCAGTGGGCGAGTAAGCAAAGCTTCATCTGTATTTACAGTGACTCCCCATCACTCATATTTCCACCTGAGTTCTGCGTCCTATCAGATCAGCAGCAGCATTAGATTCTCATTGGAGCACAAGCCCTGTTGTGAACTGCATATGTGAGGAATCTAGGATGTGTGCTCCTTATGAGAATCTAATGCCTGATGATCTGTCACTGTCTCCCATCACCCCCAGATGGGACTGTCTACAGATGGGACTGTCTAGTTGCAGAAAAACAAGCTCAGGGCTACCACCGATTTGATACTATGGTGAGTATGTAATGATAATAAAGCGTACAATAAATGTAATGTATTTGAATCAGCCCAAAGTCACCCCCACCGACCCACCCAGTCCATGGAAAAATTGTCTTCCATGAAACCAGTCCCTGCTGCCAAAAAAGTTGGGGACTGTTGCCCTAGCAGGTAGAGCAAGGGTATTTCACTTAGGCTTGACCAATCGAATGCCTTCATTCTGGATTTTGGATCTGGGAGAAGTCTTGCAGAGACGAAGCAACATTTGAGAAGGGTTTTAAGGCTAGTTTGAGTTTAGTGTGCTGGTCCTGGCTGCCATGCATTGAGCAGATAGTTCCTGTGGTAAGACCTGCTGCCCAAGCCACCCTTGGTTTCTGCCTAGTTTTCTAACACTTCTGTCAATTCTCCATTCTTGAATAGTCTTCTAATATAGGCCTTTTCTGCTTTAGGTAGCCAGACAGAACTGTTCCTTGCAACCAGTGACTGTCTAATTCAGTCACTTAATGTTTTGTAGCTTTGTTCAGTTACTGGGCACAACCCACTTTCTGCTCAGGCGGCTTGGAGACAGCCATGGGCCATATGAATCGCTATTATTTTAACTTTCATAGTAAGAACTTGCTCCATGTGGGAAAGCATAATTATTTTGGTTTCTGAGTTTAATAAGCAGAAAGCAAAGAAGAAAAAAAATACTGTTTGCACTGAGCATTAAAATATAAGGAAGTAAAGTTGTTTATAGATAGAGTTTCAGCTAAGCACCAAAGGTTTATTTATATTTTTTGCCATTTATATTTTCTGCCTAGTTCTGCCTAGGAACCAGGGAAATCCATGGCAAGGAGAAAATAAAGCATCAAAGAGGATGAAAATGTTGAATAAAGTATTAGAACCCAGAACACTTAAATCTTTAACATCCATAGTAAGAGTCCTTCACATTACTCAGGCAGACTTTTTTTTTTTCCACCTCTTGGTATTCTGTGCCTACACTTGCATGTTTAAATAACGATTTAAAAATCACATGAGAAATGATCAGGCTTTCTTTTTCCCACTTGACTCTCAGTTATTTCAATTCTTTGAGACTTGTTAAAGAAACCGTTTAGTGTTGTAAATGCCACCAAGTCTCTACCTAGTAGAGATTAGAAATCCTCTCACCAATTCCAAGTTAAAAAGGTCCTGACATATTTTGATGGAATTGGCCCATGTTCTCATTTACCAGTGACCAGCTCATCTCCATGCTATGATGCTCCCCAGGAAATGTGCATGGTTTTTGTAGAAGGTGGCGAGAAGCTTCATGGGCACCAGCATCCACAACCCACTTCTTGAAAAACAAAATCAGATTTATATTTAGCTGACCACCTGGCAAGATCTCCTGTAGGAAGAGAAGGAACTATACCCCTATTACTATTTCAGCTTTTATTCACAAAGTCTTTATATTTGAAAAATGCTTTATAATCATTTTAATTAGTGGTTTCTCACCAAAGCCCTGGATGTGGTATTATTGGCACCATTTTCTGAGAAGACCGTGTGCCATTGAGATGGAATTGACACAAGATGTTAATGGGTTAGAAGCTGGTACTAGAATCAGAATGATAGGCCATAGGACTCAGCAAGCCATGCTATTTACTGTCATCTTAGAGGGCTAGGTAGGGTGGAGGGAAGGAGTTGATGACTGATTGTTATAAGTGAAAAGGGCAGCAGTGACCCAAAACACCATTGCAAATGTTAACAGAGGCCTGTTACAGAGTTAAAGCTGGGTTTTCCAAAACAACACATCTGAGTAAAAGCGCCCTTGGTACATTAGCCAGTATGGAGCCAGCACCTGAGATCACACTGTGTTTGCCCCTTTCTGCAATGGCTATTGGTGCTGGTTGCTTGTCTTGGCCTAAGAGTTTTCAGCTGGGCTTTTGAGCAAGCTGCATCTTGAATCTGAGGATGCGGGCAAGCCAGGCACAGAACTGTGAGGGTCCTTGCAATGGGCTGCTGGTGTTCCTGTCATTCATAAGCTTGGACTTGGTCCCCACTGTGTTTGATTTGGGAGAGGTTCTTTGACCATACAACTCTTACCGTGTAAATGTGCTACAATCCTTGTCAAGACATAGCAAACTATATTTGAACATTGTTTTACCATTTACTGTTGTGTGCATGTGGGCCATATTTTCCTAGTCAGATGGTGAGTTCTGTGAGGGCAAAGGCTGAGTCATTCTCTATTTACATTTTAAGTAGGCATCCAGAGACTTGGTTATATTCTGAGTCTGTATTATTGATCAAAGCCCTCACCTGGAGTTTCTGGGGCCATTCACTGACCCAGAATCTGGTGACATTGACACAGGGAGGGAATAACATCCAGCTACAGATGGTTAACACAGGTCTTTAGTGCCCCAATCCCCATTTTGCTGACTCATCTATGCCTCAAGAACTCCAATCTTCATGCAGATTCTGTTGCCCTTGAGTACTCAGTTCTGTCTCTTCTGCATACCTCTGTGGAGCCTTGGATCCTGTCAGACTCTTCGTGTTGCTGAAGTTCTCAGTCCTCTCTCTCAGCCGAGTGTAATAGTGCCCCAGTGGGCACTGTAGGGACAGAACTGAGTTTCTTCTTTTCTTTTAGGAGTTGATTCTCTCCGGGTAATATCTGGAGCTCTCTAAAGTTTCAGAGAGAAATACGTTCCTTATAAACCTTGTGGTTGTCATGCTGGTGACTCCTTGAGCCTGTCCTGTGCTGGACCGTGAGGAAGGACACAAGGCCATCCAGACTCCTGGACTCACAGTGATTTCTTGTCCTCCCCAAAGATGCCTTTGCCTGGTGCACTCTTTAATAGCCCATCACTTCTTGCTGGCTGTGTCCCCAGCTGAGTTCCTCCAGGATATGGCATCAACTCTGAACACATCTCTGTATATTCCCTCTTAGGACCATAAGATTCATGTTAAACTTAGTGCCAGAAATAACCTTGGGTAGCCATGTTCCTTATGGTTCCTTAGATTACATTCCTAGATTACACATTTTACATTAAAAAAAAAAAAACAAAACCCAAAGCACCTAGAACCGTGCTGGATTCTTGATAAATGCTTGTATCCATTAAATACATATTGAAGTAACTTCTACTCCAGTGACCCCTCTCTTGAGGCTTACTGTTTACCTCCTCACTTTGGGGAGCTACCCAGCCAGGACCTTCTGAGAGAGAAAAGTGGTATATTTAGTAGTCACCAGATAGTTACTGTTAACGGTGCTGAGTTCTTAAAAAAACCTGTTAATTGTACTAGCTTAAGACTAAAGTATATGTTCCTCTCCTCGTAGAGTGATGATGATGGTTTTATAAATACTGGTTGGATAGCACTGTAATTAATGGGCACACCAGCTTTTATTTTGGTAACAATGTATTCTTATACCACATTTAAGAGGTTTCTCTTTCCTGTGGTCATAAAGTGATTAAAAAAAAAAAAGAGAGGAGAGAGATGACATCCTTTTTAATAAGGCATCCCAAGCAGTCTAAGTACCTATGAATTATAAATGAAAACTTTTCAGTGATTAAAATAAATATACCAATGCAGTCCCCTTCTCTGCGTCATTGCTTCGCCAGGCCTGCATGAAAATCACTCAGAGGAAGTCCCAAGGGGCCCTGAGATCATTTGCATCTGTTCCATGTGTTTCTCTGATTTATATCAGAGTGCATCAAGGGCAGTGGCCTTCCAGCTGGTTTGGGAAGAGGGATTCTTTTATCCAGAGGAGGCATCAGCTGATGGTCAGTTAGGGCTCTGGAGTGCAGCTCCATGTAAACAACTAGCCTTTGTAGTAATGGCCATATAATATAACCTAGTCCATGTTTTGTTCCCTCAAGAACCAATTTACAACATTTAATGTTCAAGGATGGTTCCATTCCTTTCTTTGTTTACACAGGTGAGGCTTTATTTAGTAGTGGGAAGTGAAGGGCAGATGGTTTAAGGGGTTCTTAATGCTGCAGGAGAGGCCCATAAACTGAAGTATCCAAGAAAATCCATTCTAAATAAGAGGCAAACAGAGTCTCAGATGGATATAAATTAGTATTATTCTTAGGAATCCTTCCTTCCCATTTCTCAGACTTATAGCAAAGCTCTTACTGATATCAGTGGCCATTGTGCAAGTGGGTAGCAGGGAAATCACCCTCAATGACCAAATGGAAGTACATGAGGAAAAAGATGGAGAATCCTGGATAAAGAAGACAACTGGCTGGGCTCCATGGCTCACATCTATAATCCCAGCGCTTTGGGAGGCTGATGCGGGTGGATCACTTGATGTTAGGTGTTTGAGACCAGCCTGACCAACATGACAAAACCCCATCTCTACTAAAAATAAAATACGTAAATTAGTCAGGCGTGGTGGTGGGCGTCTGTAATCCCAGCTGCTCGGGAGGCTGATGCAGGAGAATCGCTTGAACCCAAGAGGCAGAGGTTGCAGTGAGCCAAGATTGCACCACTGCACTCCAGCCTGGGCAACAGAGTGAGACTCCATCTCAAAAAAAAACACAAAAAACTGTCTTTTTCTAGCCCTATTTATTTCACCCTACACTCCATTTACCTTTTATTTGTTGTTAATTAAATAACATTAATTTTTGTTGTAGGATTATACGTAAGAAACTATTGGCCTTTTGCTGATTGTGCTGGAATTTAAAAGTTGTAGGGATTGTGGGCCATTGTTCTAAAATGGCTCATTTTGCCAAACATGATTAATGGCTTTTGGGGTGCAGTTTATGTCAAGGCAAAATTAGTGGACACTTCAGCAAACTGGAATGTGGTTCTGAGCTAAGGGGATATTCACTTAGCCATTCCTAGACCTTTCTTCTATCAGAACACGTCTTTAAGGTTGAATATCCAACATTTTCAAACATTTTAGTCTTAAATTCTACCTTTAGAGTATTATTGATGGTCTGATTAGATAATGAAATAAATTTTCTCTCAGCAATGTCTGTAATAAAACATAATGCAGGAAAGATAGCATTTAATAAAATATTTGTTTAATGTTAATAATATTTATTACCATCAGATTAGAATCAAGTTAACATCAAATTAGTAAGAGATATGTCAGTCACAGGACTTGTAGGGATGCGAGAAAAAGACCACCAGAGAAACTGAAGAAACAACTGGAATCATCTTTGAAGAATTTCAAACTCATCATTGAGACATTGGCGAGACTGGGAAAATTATTTCTGAATCTTGAAAGAATGATGCCCCAAGACCAGATCATTTAACCATTATGTGTCTGGAGAGCCATCATGCTTCCTGGTATATTTACTGTGGAAAACCCTGACTCTCAAAAATTAAAGGAAAATTACAACTGTAATAAATTGGCCTGAATTGCATGGATTCATAAGACCACTCTCTTTCCATTTCTTCCTACTTAATGTTGTTTTCACATAGTGATCACTTAGCAGAGTTTGGGAATAATAACTGGCAAAAAAGCTAAAATTCTTAGTCCCTAAAGGAAAAGTTTGCAAACTTATTATTTAATGTTTTAAAACCCCTTTCCCCCGATGAATGTTACCCTGTCCCTAGGAGAAGCTTCTCTTTCATGAGTTCATAGATCAACAGTGGAAAGATGATTGTATTTTTGAGCCTTGAGGTTCAACTTTTTCTCTTCTAAGTCTTTTATTCTGCAAGAGCCCTTTTGAATGATTTAAAATGGCATTCTCCATTTATTCGTATTTATCGAAAATCTATTTGGAGCAAGGTATTACATTTAAAGACAGAGAAGAAATGGTTCATCCACTCAGCTAATATTTATTGTGTGTACACTATGTAGCTACAAGCTGGGAACAGAGTGGAGAGCAAAAGAAGACACCATTCCTGCTCTTCTACAGTTGAGTCTGGTAGAGGAGACATTCATGATTCATTTTTTTTTTTTTTTTGAAGCGGTATAACCACCCAGTGGGTTCACATTGCCTGCTGCCTTCACAGAGCCAATGTATCGAGACAGGGGAATTGCAGTGAAGAAAGAGTAATTCACACAGAGCCAGCTGTGCAGGAATGAGAGTTTTATTATTACTGAAATCAGTCTCCTGAAGCATTCAGGGATCAGAGTTTTTAAAGATAATTTGGCAGGTAGGGGCTCAGGAAGCGAGGAGTGATGATTGGTCAGGTTGGAGATGGAATCATAGAGGGGTCGAAGTGAGTTTTTCTTGCTGTCTATGTTCCTGGGTGGAATGGCAGAATTGGTTGAGCCACATTACTGGTCTGGGTGGTGTCAGCTGATCCATGGAGTGCAGAGTCTGCAAAATATCTCAAGAACTGATGTTAGGTTTTACAATAGTGATGTTATCCCCAGGAGCAATTTGGGGAGGTTCAGACTCTTGGAGCCAGAGGCTGCATGACCCCTAAACTGTAATTTCTAATCTTGTAGCTAATTTGTTAGTACTGCAAAGGCAGACTGGTCCCTAGGCAAGAAGGGGGTCTACGTGGGAAAGGGCTGCTAGCAATTTTGCTTCAGAGTCAAACCATGGACAGAATTCCTTCCCAAAGTTAGTTCAGCCTACGCCCAAGAATGAACAAGGACAGCTTAAAGGATAGAAACAAGATGGAGTAGGTTAGGTCTGATTTCTTTCACCATCATAATTTCCTCAGTTAAAATTTTGTAAAGGTGGTTTCAATGGAGCCTCACTCTGTTGCCCAGGTTGGAGCGTACTGGTTCCATCTCAGCTTACTGCAACCTCTACCTCCTGGGTTCAAGCGATTCTTGTGTCTCAGCCTCCCAAGTAGGTAGGATTACAGGCATCTGCCACCACACTGGGCTAATTTTTTTGTGGATTTTTAGTAGAGATGGGGTTTCACCATGTTGGCCAGGCTGATCTCAAACTTCTGACCTCAAGTGATCCACCTGCCTTGGCCTCCCAAAATGCTGGGATTACAGGTGTGAACCACCACGCCCAGCCATGAATCTTTAGATTACTCAAGTAAATGTAAAATTATAAGTGTGGTAAATGACAGGAGATGTATAGTAGAGGAATCTCATCTGTCTAGGGATAAAGGGCTCCCCTGTGGAAGTGATATTTAAGGGAAGATTAAAGGATTAAGAACAATTAATTTGGGAAGGGATGGTGTCTTAGTCTGTTCTCTGTTACCTGAGACTGAGTAATTTATTTTAAAAACTCAGAAATTTATTTTTTACGGTTCCAGAGGCTAAGAAGTCCAAAGTTAATGGGCTGTCATTTGGCAAGAACCTTCTTGCTCTATCATCTCATGGTGGAGGGCAGGAAAGCAAGAGAGCACACATGCCACAGAGAGCAACAGAGGGCCAAACTCACTTTTATAACAAGCCCAGTCTTATGATACAAACCTACTCTCACAATAATGACATCAATCCATTCATGAGGGCTCTGCCCTCATGACCTAACCACCTCTAAGTTCTACCTCTCAACACTCTTGCATTGGGGGTTAAGTTTCCAACTCATGAACTTCAGAGGACACATTCAAATCATAGCATTCTGCCTCTGGTATTCAAAATTCACATTCTTCTCACATGTAAAATATATTTATTTCATACCAATTGCTCTAAAAATCTTAACTCATTCCAACATCAGCTTAAAAGTCCAAAGTCCATAGTCTCATCTAAATCAGATATGTGTGAGACTCAAGGCATGATTCACCCTGAGGCAAATTCCCCTCCAGCTGTGAGCCTGTGAAATTAAACAATTTATCTATTTTTGATACAATGGTGAGACAGGCATAGGATAGCCATTCTTATTCCAAAATGGAGAAATAGGCAAGAAAAAAAGAGTAACTAGTCCCAAGTGAGTTCAAAACCCAACAGGAAAAACAACATAAAGTCGTAAATCTGGAGAATAATCTCCACACCCTTAATATTGTCTCCCAAACATGCTTTTTTCATTCTTTACATGGCCAGGCTGAAAATTTTCAAAACTTTTACTTTCTTCTTCCCTTTTAGTTACAAATTTGTCTTTAAATCATTTCCTTCTTATTTTACTGTAAGTGGCTGAAAGAAGCCATGCAGCACCTTCAACTTTGCTACTTAGGCATTTGCTACTTAGCCTAGTTCATCACTCTTAAGTTCTGCCTTCCATAAAGTCCTAGGACATAGACACAATTCCACCAAGTTTGTAACTGTATCACAAGGATGGCCTTTACTCCAGTTTCCAATACACTGTTCCTCAGATCCATCTGAGACTTCATCAGGATGGCCATTACTGTCCATGTTTCTACCAACATACTGATCATGACGTCTTAAGTAACCTCTAGGAAATCCCAGTTTCTCTGCAGTTCTTTTCTTCCTCTGAGTTCTCACCAGAATCACCCTTAATGCCCCATTCATGACAATCTATGCTTCTTAAAATCTTGCTCCTCCAAATTCTTCCAGCCTCTACCTATTACTAAATTCCAAAGCTTCTTCCGTGTTTTCAGGTATTTGTTACTGTAATAAACCCTCTTCTCGATACCAATTTTTTGTCTTAGTTTATTTTGTGCTGTTTATAACAGAATACCAGAGACTGGGTAATTTATAAAGAAAAGAAAGCCAGCGTCTGGCAAGAACCTTCTTGCTGCATGATCCTGTGGCAGAAGGCAGAAGGGCAAGAGAACATGTGCACAAGAGAGAACAAAAGAGGGCCGAACTCACTTTTATAACAAACCACTCTTGCAATAATGACATTAATCTATTCATGAGCCCTCATGACCTAATTGCCTGTTAAAGGTCCCACTTCCCAACACTGTTGCATGGGGATTAGGTTTCCAGCACATAAACTTTGGAGAACACATTCAAATCGTAGCACATGGGGTACAGAATTATATTGCAGATACAGACAGCAGCTCATGCCAATGCTGTGTGGTAAGAGAAAGCACAGGGCTATTGAAAGAATGAACAAGGGTAAGGGCACTGGCACCCAGAGGGCAAGGAAGAGTACAGGTGGGATGAATCCAGAGTGGGAGGTGGAGACTACCACCAGGCTATGCAGGACCTTATAACCACTTTAAAAATTTGAGAAGTCTGGGTGCAGTGGCTCATGCCTGTAATCCCAGCACTTTGGGAGGCCAAGGCGGGCAGATCACGAAGTCAGGAGATTGAGACCATCCTGGCTAACATGGTGAAACCCCATCTCTACTAAAAATACAAAAAATTAGCTGGGCATGGTGGCAGGCGTCTGTAGTCCCAGCTATTCAGGAGACTAAGGCAGGAGAATGGCATGAACCTGGGAGGCAGAGCTTGCAGTGAGCCGAGATTGCACCACTGCACTCCAGCCTGGGTGACAGAGCAAGACTCCATCTAAAAAAAAAAAAAAAAAAAAAAAAAATTGAGAGATAGGAGGGTCACTTGAGGCCAGGAGTTCAAGACCAGCCTGGGCAACATAGCAAGAACCCATCTCTACAAAAAAATAGAAAAAAATTATTTGGGTATGGTGATGCAAACCTGTAGTCTCAGCTACTCAGGAGGCTGAGGGTGGGAAGATCACTTGTGTCCATGAGTTCGAGGCTGCAGTAAGCTGGTATTGTGCCACTGCACTCCAGCCTGGGCAACAGAGTGAGACCCTGTCTTTTAAAAAAATGAGGGTTTTATTCAAAGAACAATGGAAAATCATTGATGGGTTTTAAGCAGTAAACATGAAGGGAACACATTTGTGGTTTGCAAAGATTGCTTTAGTGCCTTTGGAGAGGAGTGGTAGTAAGATCATCCAGGGTGCTATTGTTCCCAGGTGAAAGATGCAATAATTCAGGTGGACCCCTTAAAGAAAGAGATATGGATGAGTTCTAGAGATGTGGAAGAGGCAGAATCAATAGAACTTGGTATTGATTGAATATGGTGTGGGGGCAGGGTTATTAGCATGGCCCCTAGATTTCTAGCCTGCTGAGTAGGATGAATGGTCACACCATTCACTGAGATAGAAAGCTGAGATAAAACAAGATTTAGGAGGAAAGTTGACTTTTACTTTGGACAGGTTGAATTCAAAGTATAGTATGGTGTCATAAAGTAAGCTGTTGTTACATAGCCTAAAAATGAGTGGATTTTTAAAAGGTCAAGATGGGCAGAAGTAGAGCATTCCAGTTATCTAACATTGCATGATAAAGTCCCAACAGTTATGGCTTAAAACAACATTTACTGTGCTCATTAATCTGAATTTTGGCAAGGCTTGGTGGATAGCTTATCTCCGCACCACTTGGTGTCAGCTGGGGGAGCCTGAGGCTGGGGTTGGAATCATAAGACAGCTTGCTCACTCAAATGTATGGCAGTTGATGCTGGCTGTTGGCCGAACTTGAGCAGGGGTTGTGGCTGGAGCACCTACTCGTGTCCTTTACATGTGGCTGCTTAGCTTCTTCAGAGCTTGGTCTGCTGGGTTTCAAGGTGAGTGTCACAAGAATAAAGTGAGAGCCAGACAGAGACTATCACCTTTCATGACCTCGCCTCAGAAGTCATCTAGCATCACTTCCATGGCATTCTGTTCATTAGACATGGCCCAGCCATATTCAGGGTAAGGGGAATTAGAGTTCACTCTTCAATGGGGGGAGTGTTGAAGAATTTGACAACATGTTTTAAAACCACCACATGGCGGGGCAGAGAAGAAATCAGTTATCATTCCAGCTGGAAGGAACAGGTTGAAACGGGAAGGTAGAAATTATATTCAATAGAAGTGGAGTGGTTGCTGTTGGCTGGCCTGGAGCATGTATGAAGGGTTATGAACAGTGTGAAATATAGGTTAAAGGAACGTTTGGGACCAAATTATGGTGGAGCCCAAATTTCCTGAAACCCATTATTTTGAATCTGGAAACAAATTGTCAGAGAGGAATACAAATCAGATTTATTAAATAAAGATAAAAAGTAGAAGCAAACAGTGACTGGCATGGGATAGGAATAATTCTACTTGCTGATAAAATAATTCATGCCAATTTTGGGGTGTCTAGTCTACAGATTTGGGGTCATATATCTCCAAATTTAAATTGTAGACATATTCAAATGTCTTTAGTTGGGCTTTGTACCTTATGCCAGTCAAAAACATGAGTCAAAAAAATCATGCCTGTATGGTTCCCTTCGGAGGTATCTCTCCTTTATCCTTTAGCAGATTAAGATAAGAATCTTGGTCTTTTTGATCCTGGCTGTGGCTTCAAATTTTTCCCATCTTACTATTGGGCTACCCAAAAGGACTGCATCAGACAAGACTGGTGAGTTGAATAGTGTTCCTCCCAAATTCACGTCTACCTGGAACCTCAGAATGTTACTTTATATGGAAATAGGAACTTTGTAGATGTAATTAGTTAAGGTTCTTGAGATGAAATCATCCTGGATTTAGGGTGGGCCCTGAATCCAATTATTGTTGTCATTAAGAAATTGAGAAGGCACAGAGACAAAGCAAAGAAGCCCATGGGGAGATGCAGAAGCTGACCTTGGAGTTATGCATCTAGAACCAAGGAATGCCAGGAGCACCAGAAGCTGGAAGAGGCAAGAAAGGATTCTTCCCTAGAGCCTTCAGAGGGAGCGTGACCCTGTCAACACCTTGATTCCAGACTTCGGGCCTCTAAAACTCAGAGAGAATAAATTTCTGTTTTAAGCCACGTAGTTTGTGGCAACTTCTTATGGCAGTCCTAGGAAATTATACACGAAGTTAGAGCCAGGCATGATGTATTAGTCCATTCTCACACTGCTATAAAAAATTACCTGAGACTGGGTAATTTGTAAAGAAAAGAGGATCCCCAGGCTCTATGGAAAGCATGCCTGGGGAGACTTCAGGAAACTTACAATCATGGCAGAAGGTTAAGGGGAAGCAGGCACGTCTTACATAGCCCAAGCAGAAGGAAGAGAAATTGCTGCGAGGTGCTACATACTTCTAAACAACCAGATCTCGTAAGAACTCACTCACTGCCAAGAGAACAGCAAGGGGGAAATCCACCCCTACCACCCAGTCACCTCCCACCAGGCCCTCCTCCACATTGATCCAATCACCTCCTACCAGGCCCCTCTTTCAACCTTGGGGATTACAATTTGACATGAGATTTGGGTAGGGACGCAAATCCAATCCATGTCACGTGGAAAATATGGGTGTTGGTTTGCCAGATGCCAAACAGAAACAACATTTGATCTGTTGATAATTGTGTATCCTCTTTATCAGGTCTATCTTAAGGAAATCAGAGAGTAGAGCATATTTTCTTCATGGAATGGTGAGACACATATTAGCCTGAGACAGGAGCTAAGGAGAGTGAGTGGTGGGCTCCACCAAAGTGCCTTCATACAACTACACTGGTAGGTGATCAGAACAAAGGGACACGTAGAACGAAGACCCGGGTGTGTAACCCAAATGCCTAACAAAGTCCATTCAATGTATGAGGTGTTGCTGCTGTGTGCTGAAGGAGGAAACCTGGGTCTTAGTCTCTGTTATGGTAAATAGAGAAGAAATCAAGCCTTCCTACGACAATAGGGGATTTTTAATGAAGTAAAGGAGACAGAAGAAATGTCCCAAAGGAGAATGAAGTATGTCAAAAACAGATTGCGCATGTAATTACTTTCTCAGGCCTTCCTGACATTATCAGCAGGACTTGTGTTTTGATGAAAAAACTTAATTAAAACTTAATTTTTTTAAGTGGAAAATATTCAGCATGGTTACAGGAAGACTGAAATCAGGGCACTGTGTAATTTTAATTGCCTTCGAGAGATGCACTTCACGTGAAGACTAGCATGGGGGAAAAAAGCTAGAGGCACAAAGTCTGAGGGGAGTGGCCACGCTGAATCTCTAGCTGTGTGCTTGGGCGCCATTTTCCCCACTCTTACAGTTGACGGGATGGCATCTCAGGTTTCACGTGTAGGGGAGGAGAGTGGGTCTGTTCTGGAGTGTGCCGGTCAGGCCATACTTGGCATACACATTGTAGAAAGTGTCTTGATTTTTATTCTCCTAAAAAGGGTAAAAAGAGATTGAGGAGATTACATATCCCATGAGGCAGCAGTTTTTAAATGCCACTCTCTGGATCAGTTCTATCAGAACCATCTGGTTCTGATTCATTTAATCTGTTTTAGGACCTGTGCACAGTGTTTCTATTTTAAAAATAAACCTGTCCTACTCATTCTTGGAGTCAGGTGTGGGAACTACAGGTTTTTAATGGAAGAAACATGAACTTGAAAATGAGTAAATATGGGCTACGTCCTTTACTTCCCAAGGAGATTTGGGTTGACTGCTTAGTTTCCTCCATCAAATGGGGATAATATGCTTATTTGATGGGGTTTTGTGAAAATAAAAGATAACACAGGTAAAGTGACTGACACATACAGTTAAGTGGTCTAAAAATGATAAAACTGTAGAAGAAGAGTTGGATCAGGCTGCTTGCTAAATTGGGAAGGGATAAGGTAGTGTTCTTCAGATATTTCAAGGGCAGCTGCATGAGAGAGAGAGAGAGAGAGAGAGAGTGTGTGTGTGTGTGTGTGTGTGTGTGTGCGCATGCAGCCTTTAGAGGTCAGACTCAAGTCCAGCAGGTAGAAGTTATAAGGAGATAAATTTCAACGCAACAGAAAGTGGAACTGTCTAGTGAATGGTCCAGGGATGTCATCAGTTTGCTCCAGAGGGTAGTACGTTCCAAATCACTGGAGCAATTAAAGCAGCTGCCATATTTTGAGGATGTACAGGGCTGTGGGGCAGCAATTGAATGAGACCACTTGGTTCAGCTCTGTAATAGGGTTTCTGGCTTCCTGTGGGGCTGTGGCTGACATACAGTTGTTTTGTAAACTAACAACACTTGAAGAAGGTTTTAGCAGAAAACGTTTACCAGTAAGATATGTCAGGTCAAGTACACTGTTTTAGGTATTCTTTACTGGGGACATTCTTGTGACCTTCATCCCAGGCCTTTCAGAAAAGGGATGGGGCATATTTAGAAGTTATTAATGACTGAGAAGCTCCTCTGGCACTTCAGGGGAGGGAACTAGAGCTATAAAATGTCCTGTGATTGTTCTAGGACTTTCTCCTTAGTTTAGCTAACATCTGGGTCCTTGTCACACGGCTATGAAATATTAGGCTTACAGACACTTTGAAGGGTGAGAAAAATGGAATTTATTGGGTAAAAAGGAAAAAAAGGGAAACAGGGATGCTCTGCAGAGCCAGATTCCTGCTAGTGTGCTTCCTGCCTCACAGACTGAATCCCAGGTACCACCCAGGAAGAGGAGGGGCCAGGCTCCTCCCCACTGCAAATGGCATGAACTTCCCAAGACCCCTCCCCCAGTGTGCAGGCCACTTGGAGGTTCTCTGGTGACCCCTTTATATTTGGCTGTCTCATTATGAATGGGACAGGAGTGGGAAATTATCCCACTTCAAATGTCACTTGCTCTCTGTTGGGAAACCCTATACCTCACTGAAGCCCAGATGATCTCCCTGAACCAGCCTTTGAGGGTCCTTTTTGGAGCCCTTTGGAAACCTGGTATTGGATGGGTTGGGTTACGGGGCTGCTCAGCCTGACAGCCTCGCATTATCTGGTGACCACAGAGTTTAAAGCAGAACATTGGGAAGAAGGTAGACTGGGCCAGTTGCACAAAGCAGAGTGTGAAGAGTGATGGGAGATGAAGGCTGTTTGCCTGCTTTTCACTGGGGACCAGATTTGGATGGATGCTGGTCCAATATGAGTGACACAGTTAACTTATCAGTGAGATCCCTCATTCTTCTCATCAGTGAGATAGCTGGGTATTGGGGGAACCTGCCCCCAGTATTTCAATGTAGGTTCTTTCTATTTTCCATAATATCAGCTGGCTGAGAAATAAAGAGAAAGAGTACAAAGAGAGGAATTTTACACCTGGGCCGCCGGGGGTGACATCACATATCGGTAGGACCTTGATGCCTGCCCAAGCCTTGAAACCAGCAAGTTTTTATTAAGGATTTCAAAAGGGGAGGGGGTGTACGACCAGGGAGTAGGTACAAAGATCACATGCTTCAAAGGGCAAAAGGTAGAACAAAGATCATATGCTTCTGGGGAAACAGAACAAAGGGCAAAAGGCAGAACTCCTGATAAGGGTCTATGTTCAGTGGTGCACGTATTATCTTGATAAACATCTTAAACAACAGAAAACAGAGTTCGAGAGCAGAGAACTGGTCTGACCAAAAATTTACCAGGGTGGAGTTTCCCAATCCTAGTAAGCCTGAAGTTACTGCAGGAGACCAGGGCGTATCTCAGTCCTTATCTCAACCGCATAGGACAGACATTCCCAGAGCGGCCGTTTATAGACCTCGCCCCAGGAATGCATTCGTTTCCTAGCGTATTAATATTAATATTCCTTGCTAGGAAAATAATTTAGTGATATCTCTCCTACTTGCACAACCGTTTATAGGCTCTCGGCAAGAAGAAAAATATGTCTCTTTTTGCCTGACCCCGCAGGCAGTCAGACCTTATGGTTGTCTTCCCTTGTTCCCTAAAAGTCGCTGTTATTCTGTTCTTTTTCAAGGTACACTGATTTCATATTGTTCAAACACACGTTTTACAATCAATTTGTGCAGTTAACACAATTATCACAGTGATCCTGAGGTGATGTACCTCCTCAGCTTATGAAGATAACGGTATTAAGAGATTAAAGTAAAGACAGGTATGAATTATAAAAGTATTAATTTGGGAACTGATACATGTCCATATTAAAATGAAATCTTCACAATTTATGTTCCTCTGCTGTGGCTCCAGCCAGTCCCTCTGTTTGGGGGGGGTCCCTGACTTCCAACAGCTGGGGACCACTTAATCAGGGTAAGGGCAGTAGTTTGTGTTCACAGTTTGATCTCCCTGCATGGTGCTAACCAGGCTGCATGGGGATCTAATGTCTGACTTTGGCCACGGCATCAGGCTCCAGCCAACTGACGTGAAAGCAAGTTTCCAAATCGTCTCTTTCTAAATAGATAAATGATACTCAGTGTTCCTTTAGCCTTCCTTATTTTTTGCAAATGCCTGTCCCCAGTGGTTCTGTTGTTTGCTCTGATTGCCGTTTTCCCCAGTAAGTGGGAAAACCCCACATCTTTTCCCCATCAGTATTCCCTAATGAGGCTTGTTCCCTCAAGGGGACCTTGATGAGTTACAACAGCATGACCATGTTCCCAAGCAGCATGCTAAGAAAAACAAACCCCAGTGATGCCCTGCAGGCACCATTTAGGAGCGGGCGGTAATGAATCCCTGAGAGAATTCAGTCCTCCGTATGAAGGTGATCCAGAGTGAAGTAAACAATTTCACCGTTAGGTGGTTCACCCTGCATGCCTCATTGCTGGCTTTCTGGAAAGCCAGTAAATAAGGCAGAAAAAATGTATCATTCCCTCCAGAGTGCAGGGTCCCCTGTCACCCACACAGGACTCCTGCCTGTCACTTTGAGTCACAGCTGGGCTTTCTGGAACCCGGATTCTTGTCTCTGGTTAGCTCAGGTCTTGCAGCCATGCCAAATCCAAACTGTGACATTGTCTGAACAGTAGGGCATCCTGTTCCCTGGTTTGGCTGAGCTCTGCGGAGCAGAACAGTGGCCGAGGTTAACATCAGATAATTTCCTCCACCATTCCTGAGTACCCTGAGGGCTTGTTACCTGGAATCAAAGACTTGTCAGAACTCAAGATGACCTTAAAGGCCAGCTTATTCAACCTCCCACCCAGGATATGACTTCCAGAACTAACCACCCACAATGCAGATTAGTAATATCATACGTGGTTACTCAATGCAATTGTGTCATTTCAGGAGAAATGACCTGTTACCAAAGTGTCATGAAACCCACATTAATGAGCTGGGCTGTAGTGGAGGTTTACTTTGATTTCTGACCTTAATTATTAGTGGTTTGGATTCTTTACGTTTATGATGGATTTTCTGATTACCAATTATGATTCACTGTAAGCCATTTTTAAAAATATGACATGAAGCTCTGACCCACTTTTAACAACACAGTGGCAAATGCCAAACAATTGGCAATTTCCCCTTCTAATATCAGCTGTTTGAATCATCACATCTACTGTGGTGGCTGGGGACCACTTTATCTTCATTCTCTGGCTTCAGTATTCTTTTCTGGTATTGTCATTACTGACCTAGGTGCATATCTGTACTAGGCTGGGACCTCAGCTCTATGCCAGTGAGAAAATGAGGTTCAACTGGGAAAACGGCCTGGAGCAGTTGCTCTCAGGCTTGTCTGCAGATTAGAATCACCTGTAGACTTTTAAAAAATACTGACACTTGGGTTCCGCTCTTGGAAATTCTAATGGATCTGGGGTGCAGCCTGGGCATCTGGAATTTTACAGTCTACCTGAGTAATTCCAATGAGCAGGTGGGTGGCCTTGCAAACCGGGGTCTGAAGGGGCTGGTCAGCAAGGAGTATGGGCAAAATAGTGCTGGCTGGCTGGGCGCAGTGGCTTACGCCTGTGATCCCAGCATTTGGGAGGCTGAGGCAGGAGGATCATGAGGTCAAGAGTTCGAGAACAGCCTGGCCAACATGGTGAAACCTTGTCTCTACTAAAGATACAAAAAATTAGCTGGGCGTGGTGGCACGGGCCTGTAATCCCAGCTACTTGGGAAGCTGAGGCAGGAGAATCACTTGAACCCAGGAGGCAGAGGTTGCAGTGAGCCAAGATCCCACTTGGCTGCCACTGCACTCCAGCCTGGGTGACAGGGTGAGACTCCATCTCAAAAAAAAAAAAAAAAAAAAAAAAATAGTGGTGGCCAAGGGGTGTTTATAAAACAGAGTTGTGATACATGTTCATACGTTCACCTTTGAGGTCTGATTTGGTGGTAGCAGGAGTTTCAGGGGAAATGTTTACTGATCAGGTTGATGAGTGTCCAGGGACAAGATGTGTCTGCTAAGAGTTAGATTGATGGCAAAGATTGGGCAGATTGATAGTTCTCTAGCAAATAAGATGAGATCTGCTATTTCAGCAGGAAACAATCAAGTAAGGAAGTTGAACAAAAAGCTAGTGGTATGGGCCATGTCCACAAGCTGTGGTTAAAGGCAAAGGCTGCAGCCTGATTGGCGTGCCCACACTGGGCTGGGCACTGTCAGGGACAGCCAGGCTGACTCCAGAGCCTGCCTTCTGGTTGGCTTCTCCCGGCTTAAGTCTGGCCCTGCAGGAAAACCGACAGGAGTTTTCATGCCAACCAAGACTGAGACAATCAGAGACTGGCAGGTTTGGAACCAGGAGGTCTGGATGGGGAGGCTGGCTCTGAATCTGTTGTCATTATCAGGTGAGTCATTAGGACCACCTGGAAAAGTGAAGCTGTTCTTCACCTTCTCTTCTTGTGAAAGTGATTCAATCTCCCAAACCCAGGTTGATCATACCCTTTAGGTCTAATATAGGAAGTGTTGAATTAGGTGATGTCTCTAAAGAACTCTCTCTGGGTTCCTTAGAGAAAAATAACATTTGAACATTGTGCCTCAGCAGGAAAGAAGATGCAATTTAAGTCCTGCACCAAGGCATTCAGGGCTCACCTCAAAGTGGACTCCTAGGAACAAGAAGCAAATGATTCCGTGGAGAGTGTTAGATGTCTGGCCAATGGAAACGGGGATGTAGTTCAGGTTTTCTAGCCCCAGAAGTTCAGAACATTTGGGTTCCTCGGTGGACATGTCTGTTACTCGCTTGAAACTAGGGAAAGTCTCTTGTGTAGAAAACCTGTTGCATGTCCCTTGACTACCAGTAGCAGCAGAGGTGCTATGTGTGGCTGAAGAATTTTCCTCCTTTTTCTGAGAGATGATTTCCCAGGTTTCCTTCTCCACAATTCTGTGGGCGTGTACTGCTGTGATAAGATGTTTGTTCTCTGGCTTATAAATTACAAGATATTTTCAGGACCACTTGGAAGAAATTCGAACATTTTCCTGGAGGCAGTGGGGGAGCTGCTGGAGGTTTTCGGACAGGCGGGCCACATGCTGAGAGAGGTATTTTGGGAAAATGCACTTGGCAGTCATGTGTGGGTGAGGATAATAATATTAATACTTAACCACTGGCTTGTTGGGAAGAGTAAGGGGAACAATGTAAGTGAGTGTAAAGATGCAGGACCACCATTCCTTTGTTCATTCTTTTTTTTTCTTTTTCTTTTTTTATACTTTACATTCTGGGATACATGTGCAGAACGTGCAGGTTTGTTACATAGGTATACATGTGCCATGGTGGTTTGCTGCACCCATCAACCTGCCATCTACATTAGGTATTTCTCCTAATGCTATCCCTCCCTTAGCCCCGCACTTTGTCCATTCTTTTAGTTTCTCTGAGACCTGGTGCCCCAAGGATACCATCTTCTCCTGACCAGTGTATCAGTTTGCGAGAGTTGCCATAAAAAAATAGCACAGACTGGGTGGCTTCAACAACAGAAATATATTTTCTCATAGTTCTGTAGGTGGGAAGCCTGAGAATGAAAGGCATCGGTAGGGCTGGTCCCTCCTCAGGGCCGCGAGGGCAGGGTCTATTCCAGGCCTTCCTCCTTGGCTTGTAGATGGTCACCCTCTTCCCTGTCTCTTCATGTCATCATCTCTCTTTGTGTCCGAATTTCTTCTTCTCGTGAGGACACCAGTCATATTGGATTAGGGCCCACCCTAATGACTGCATTTTAACTTAATTACCTCTGAAAAGATCCTGTCTCCAAAGATGGTCATATGTGAGATACTGGGGTTAGGACTTCCACATATAATTTTTTGAGGGGATACAATTCAGTCCATAACAGCCAGTCTTTTTGAAGACTTTCTCTTTTGGGGGCTTTACACTTAGGTAATTACAGGATATTTTAAGGGGTATTTCAAGACCCAGCAACCCCCTTCTCCACCCACCATCTCCCCCAAATTATGTTCGTCACCTCCTGGTACCTGTTATATCATCACTAGAATTGCTTGGTTGAATCAAGTAATGTTTCAAGATAATTTCCGTAAACATGCACTCTTTTTATGTAAGAGGGGTAATAATAGAGCCAGTGAAATACTGGATGAATTCATTTACCAAACTACGTAAAAGTACTGATATATGACAACTACTTAGGGAACCTAAGATTTGGGACATAGAGCAGCCTATTTAGAATATCCGGTATAACATTGCAGGGAATAGCAAGGGCTCTAGAGCTTTCTGCCTGGGTTGAAATCTCAGCTCCACCCTTTTCTTTCTGTGTGGCATTCAGCAAGTTACTTAACCCACCTGTGATTCTTCCTTCATCTGAACAAGCAGCATAACAATAGCATTTACCTCATGATTCTTTAGAAGGTGAATGAGCTAATACCTAATATAGTGCTTAGAGTAGTGTCTTGTCTGTGGTTGGCTTTCAATAAATGTTAGCTGCTATTGTTGTTGTTAAACTATTTAACAAACTACGAAGCACATTCCTATCTGCTTTCTTCTTTGCCCTTGTAGCAGCCCTGTGGAGTAGAAGGAGTTAGTTACATTTTACAGATGAAGAGACTGAGGCTCTAAGACATTATGCGAACCATCTCAGGGCATATGGCAGTGTTATTCAGAACATCTATCGGTAAAGAACAAGAATTCCAAAAATATAGGATTTTCCCCAGGAAGGAGGGCCAGAGTGTGGGCTACTGTGGGATGGCCTCCGGGCAGAGTGTGAGGGTAGGCGCTCCAAAGAGTAAGGCATCTGGAGAAGAGAAACAATGAAAGAGGCAAACGCTGGATGAGAAGGACCTCAAAGCAGAACTTTGCCTCTTGGCCTCTCAGTCAATTGTGATCTGACTGACATCCAGATTGTGATCTTGTTCAGGTGGCTGAACTTTGAACCCTTCTTGGCCATTTGATGCTAAAGGCAGTCTTTGAATGTGATGTTTTCCTAGATCGTACTGGTGGAATTTAGTTGCCTCAGATTTCCCAGTCATGTGCCAGCACTGCCAAGTGATCTCCATGTGTGGGTTTTATGATGTGTTTCCAGTGCTCCACATATGGCCTGTGATTTTTTTTTCCTATGGCTCCTAATGAAACACTCAGAACACTGCACTGAATAGAAGTTTCTCCCTATTCTCCAGAGTGGGGATCCTTATTGCATCGTCAAGCATGGACACCAAAAATAAATGGGGAGAAATCTCTATTCTCTTAGTGATGAGGCACTCTTGGAGGAAGATATTATTAACATGACTACGTCTTGCCAATTTGAAACTTTGCAAATATCTGTAAGGTTGACCAGTTTTTATAATTTCAAGATTTTAAGTTCAACTTAAGGTACTTTACAAAATTATTTTTATCATAATAAATTACAGTTCTTTACACCTGTGTCTTTTACCGATTAGATTGTGAGCTACTTTATGGGTGAGCACCAGTATCTACTTAACTTTGTACTAAATGGCTCAATATTGCCTGGAAAATAGTAGGTGCCCAATAAATAGTAAATGTTGTTCGATCAAATCATAAATGTAGATATAAGCTAAACCTCTTCCCTGGGCAACTGGAAATGCCCATGTTATGTCTTAAAACACATTGAATTCAGGTGGGAGAATAAAAATGATTTTAACAAATCCAGTGTGCTTTTTGAAGGCAGAACTACAATTACTTCTTTTTTCCCTCATAATCAAATCAACCTGTGAAATTGGAAGCCAATAAATATGTAAAAAAGTCATCAAATGTCATAGGAGAGGACTACTATTTGATTCACACGTGATCTTTGTCGTTTAATTGCGTGTGGCAAGAATGAATGGAAGTGATATTAAGTGGAGAAAAACTCAGTCCCATTGGTGAGTTATTTACCTTGACCACTGTGATGGGCTGAATTGTGTTCCCCTAAAATTCCTATGTTGAAGTCCTAACCCCCAGTATCTCAGAATGTGACTGTATTTGGAGATACAGTCTTTCAAAAGGTGATTAAGTTAAAGTGAAAATGAGGCCTTTGGGATGGGTCCTAATCCAATATGGTTGTTGTCTTTACAAGAAGAAAACATTTGGCCACATGGAGAGATACAAGGGATGCACATGCATGGAGGAAAGAACATGTGAAGACATTTACAAGCCATAAAAAGAGCCCTTTCAGAGACTAACCGTGCTGACACCTTGACTTTGAACTTCCAGCCCTCCAGGACTGTGAGAAAATAAATTTCTGTTGCTTAAGTCACACAGTCTGTGGTATTTTATTATGATAGCCCTACCAAACTAATACAACCACCTACTTTTTAGAATTTATAGAATCCAAGCACTTAAGATTACAAAAATGCATGTTTATTGTGGCACTATTCACAATAGTGAAGACTTGGAACCAATCCAAATGCACATCAATGATAGACTGGATAAAGAAAATGTGGCACATATACACCATGGAATGCTATGCAGCCATAAAAGAGGATGAGTTCGTGTCCTTTGCAGAGACTTGGATGAAGCTGGAAACCATCATTCTCAGCAAACTAACGCGAGAACAGAAAACCAAACACCGCATGTTCTCACTCATAAGTTGAACAATGAGAACACATGAGCACAAGGAGGGGAACATCACATACCAGGGCCTGTTGGGGGCTGGGGAGCTACAGGAGGGATAGCATTAGAAGAAATACCTAATGTAGATGACGGGTTGATGGGTGCACCAAACCACCATGGCACGTGTATACCTATGTAAGAAACCTGCATGTTCTGCACATGTATCCCAGAACTTTAAAGTATAATAATAAAAAAAAGCAATAAAGAGGAGGTGATGGTAATAGGCACAGACTTTTGCTTGCGTTGAGGAAATATTCTAAGTTTCACAATGGGGTGTGGAAGAATCTGTGCGAATCTCCTTCTGACCTCTCGTGGTACCATTTCCTCATTACTCAGTGATGACCCCAGAGCCAGTCTTGGATGAGGCGGGGTGGAATTTTCCACACAGGTGCCATGAGCTAGGGGGCTCAAAACAGACACTGTGGTGAGGTTATTACTGAAATATTCTGTTTCTATGAAGTTTCTAACGTAATTCTGGGCCCTCTTTCTACAACCTTAGCAAGTTGCTGAACTACAGGAGTGTGGAGTAACAATGCCTTTCATGTCAATTCTGTTTACAGCCAGGCTTGCTTGCATTAAACTGGACACATCCATCAACTAGAGTGCTGGATAACAGATGAGAAAAAGCTAAGTTTGAGTTGTCTTTTATATTGTATAATGGTGCTTCTATTTTCTTTGTTTTCTTCTTGTTCTTAAGTTCTGTGGGAAACCCACGGGAAGAGGAGTCTATCCAGGGTATTTGACTTCAAATCATTTCATCTCTTCTGTTCTTCCTCTCATCTAGTCCTCTGTGTTCTTGTAATATACGCAAGGGCAAGATTAATAGTAGAACAGAATTCTGCTATGAAATTTAAGTGATGTGAATTCTTTCTCAAAATTCCAAGAATGAAAACTTTGACTATGACATAGCCAATAATTTGCACTTGTTTGCATTTGACATTGCTCATTTACATTAACTAGCGTAAAATACCTAATTAGTACAGCAGAAAAAAAAAAACTATATGAGGAAAAAAAGAAATGATTGCTCTTTTACTCACTGGAGGGAAAGGTTGGATTTATTTCAGCTCTGTGTTTAGAAAAATACCTTTGCTGGGCTTCTTGGAGTGTGAAAAGAGTGGACCCTGACCCACCTCTATTCCCTGCTGGGCCATCTGGAAGGATTTTCACAGCAAAGATAAGGCTAAACCACTCTGCAAAATGAAACCAGAGGAATTTCATGAGTTCTGGGGAGTAGAAAGAAGTAGGGTGAGCTCTGACAAGGATGATGGGGTTGGGCATGTGATGTCTGGAGTTGGGGCTAAGGAGGCCAGTCCAGGAGATGGTCCCTGAGGTAGGATGGGAGTGGGGCCAGGCAACTGTAAGACAGCGATGTCTCATGTTATTGAGCTTTGCTATTTCGTAACCTCTATCTGCCACACTTTCTAAAACCTTTGCATAACTACTGGGTATCTACCGAGAGGAAAAGAAGTCATTATACGAAAAAGATACTTGTATATGCATATTTATGGCAGCACAATTCGCAATTGCAAAAATATGTAACCAGTCCAAATGCCCATCAATCAATGAGTGGATAAAGACACTGTGAGATACACATATATATATACACACACACACATATATATACATATACATATGTGTGTATATATATATGATGGAACACCACACAGCCATAAAAAGGAATGAATAATGGCATTTGCAGCAACCTGGATGGAACTGGAGACCATTATTCTAAGTGAAGTAACTCAGGAATGGAAACCCAAACATCATATGTTCTCACTCATAAGTGGGAGCTAAGCTATGAGGATGCAAAGGCATAAGAATAATACAATGAACTTCGGGGACTTGGGAGAAAGAATGGGAGGTGGGTGAGGAATAAAAGACTACAAATTGGGTTCAGTGTATACTGCTCAGGTGATGGATGCACCACGGTCTCACAAATCACCACTAAAATACTTACTCATGTAACCAAATACCACCTGTTTCCCAAAAACCAATGGAAATAAAAAATTAAAAAATAATAAAAATAAAATAAAATCTTTATAAGACTACTGTACCTGTTAGAGCCTCCTTTCTGGGAAATTAAAACTCTAATTGTTTCCACATTAGCTTATGAGGTGGTTGGTAAAAGAGAATGACTACAGGAAATGAAATGCCAATGAGGTTGATAATTCAGTGGGACCAACAAGTCACAGTCAACCAGTGATGGAGATGGTAAACCTACTAGGAATCCACAGAAATTTTGAGGCAGGTACCGGACTCTCAAG
Organism: Homo sapiens; assembly: GCF_000001405.40. Taxonomy (NCBI): domain Eukaryota; kingdom Metazoa; phylum Chordata; class Mammalia; order Primates; family Hominidae; genus Homo; species Homo sapiens. Next base: position 72,163,464 of record NC_000014.9, read on the forward strand.
AGTGTGTGAGATTGGTGAGGCTTTGGCCTGAGCCATTGAAAATAAATGCATAAATAGCAACACTTAGCAGACCGGAAAACATGGGGGAAAACCCAGACAAGAGACACTTGGGATTTGTCAGTAAAAAATGGAGTTGTGAGGCTGGGTGCAGTGGCTCACGCCTGTAATCCCAGTACTTTGGGAGGCTGAGGTGGGCGGATCACGAGGTCAGGCGTTCGAGACCAGCCTGGCCAACGTGGTGAAACCCCATCTCCACTAAAAATACAAAAATTAGCCAGGTGTGGTGGCACTCACCTGTAATCGCAACTACTCAGGAGGCTGAGGTAGGAGAATCACTTGAATCTGGGAGGCAATGGTTGCAGTGAGCCAAGATTGCACCACTGCACTCCAGCCTGGGCAACAGAGTGAGACTCCATCTCAAAAAAAAAAAAAAAAATGCAGTTGTGGAAGCTTTGAAATCCCTGCTGTGAGGTTATGGAAGGAGAATGTTTCTGTTCAAGTATGAATCTTTTTTGGGAGGGGTGGCAAGAGGAAGGTATGCAAAGGGAATGGTGAATAAAATGAAAAGGTTCGACTTTTTGGTGGTTAGTCACCTAAGAAGGTTTTGTGGGGGAAATAATGTGTTTTAGCCAGCAAGGGGATTGTTTAACCTGCCCTCTACCAGTCTGCCGTGCCTCACCCACTTGTCTACAGCTGTCCTGTTAGTTGTAGCATTTTGTTTTCTTTTATGCAAAGGGATTTTCTTATGACACTCAAGGAGAACCCAGGAGAGGGAAGGCATCTCTGCCTTCCAGGGACAAAGTTTCAGAACTGTACTGCTCTACAGTGGTAAAAAGACAACAAAGTCTTTGATTTGCAGGTTGCTTGTTTCACTTACCCTGTGAAGTGGAGCTCAGTTGGAATATTTCATCTGGCCACTCTTTAGATGTTCACGGCAGCCCTGCCTGGCCAGCCATGAGGTCGGGCGGAGAAAGGAAGCAAGGATGAGTGAGGAGGGAGAGAAATGGCCCTGGAGTTTGTTGTTGGAGATCTTCTCTGTGTCAAACATCTTAAGGGAATCACCTCATGGAATCTTCGCCACAACCCATTGATATGGGGATTATTTTCCATTTTATAATGAGGAAATGAAACCTTAGAATAACAGCAAGAAGCTCAGACAACTATGAAGTGGCAGGGTGCAGTTATGTGACTCAAAACCAGTGTTATTTTCAGAAGTGGGAAATGTCATGACTTTGCCCTCCCCTCCCCTTCTCTCTCTTCCTTCCTTTTTGTTGGCTATCTTGAGCTGAATGGTGATAACGCTTAACTAGTGGAGGTACATTTTGAATAAACAGCGACTGACTTAAATTTATAATCATAATTTTATTCTAGAGTTTTAACAAATGGTAAAACATTTAGAGTTATTTTTCCGCAGACTTGACAAAGGTGATGGCTGACTGTGCCTGCCGTCATTTTTTTCTATTTATAAAATCAGGGTAAATTTGCAAACTTCTAAAGAAGCAGACATGGCTTCAGCAACCAGTCAGGGTGGAGGTGAGACCAGGAAGGTTGGAGCTCATGAAAGGTCCTCCTCTTCTGTCTAAGGGGCACTTACTTCATTGGTAGCTCAGCTGATACTTTGGGAATTCCAAGAAAGAGCCAGGAACCCTGCTAGGAATAGAGAAGCAAAGAATCCAGGGCTCTCACTTTGAATTGCTCACCACGTCTAGAACATGAGTCAGGCACAGACACAGAAAAGTCAGCATAATGCGTATGTGCAGTGATTATGAGATGCCCATGCAGCGTCTTTACACCAGCCAGGGATGCAAGGAAGAATCTCCGGAGAACATCTACCCAACAGGTGGATTTGCTTGTGGGGAACAGAATCTGTCAAGGAGAAACAAAGCAGTGCAGTAGTTGCATCATCATGAGGAAGGATGATGTGCAGAGTTAGTTTCCTAAGTGGCATCGCCTATAATGAGCAGCGTGTTCTCCTACCACCTTAGCTGCAAGCAGTTATGCTGTATAGCCAACATCTTTCTCCTAGCTCACAATTCAAAAGCGCATTGCTGGGATTCCTTGGGGGCTTTGCGTTTATTTGTTGTGGTCTAGTGGTTTATTCTGGCAAAATACACTGCATGGATTTTTACAGTTTGCTTTGTGCTTGGACATCTTTCCACCCAAGCAAAATGTTTACAAATGCCAGCACGTCGTTTTCTGAAAATATTGCTGAAAAGAACAAATGTGTTGTGATGTGCCATGTGTTTGAAGAGACCAGGCAACCAAACACTAAGATTGCCTCTTCCTGTCAGTGTTTTTGCTCGGAATCATTCTTTATTGTGCCTGTTTCTCCAGAACTCTGTAATCCAAAATGGTCCTGTTCTCTGTGGACATGTGTTTATTCTGCAAGTTAAAACCCTTTCAAGCAATTCTTGCTGTGTTAAATATAACAATGCACTGATAAAATTCTGTCATACATTCTAGAAAATACCTTTGTATAAAGTACTCATATTACTGAATTTACCAAAACAGCATAGGTAACAGATTCTAAGATATCTTAGAGTTAATTGATAATATGTATCTGAATGTTGTAAAATTTATCTTTCCTATGCAAATCCCTTCAAACCATCCCTTCTAGTCCCATTTTTGAGACACACACACACACACACACACACACACACACACACACACACACAGACTGACTTTGTTATTCCTTACTGGTTTTTACTGATGGTCATAGACGTCTTTCTTCTCTGCTACTTCCATTATCTTCCTGCCTTCAAAATCTCCACTTTAGTTGCAGTTTTGTTTTACTATATGTCTTATTTTTAAAAATATATAGGTAAATAGAAATTGAAAAGCTCCCATTTTTTGTTAGATTCATGAATTCCTTTATGTAATTATTTTTCCAAAATTAATCCTGAATACAGACTAGTAAATTTATATGACAAAGAAAATTTCTATGACAAAGCAAAATTAATGCTGAATACAGACTAGAACATTTATATGACAAAGAAAATAGGGAACTGTGTTGTTTCACATACTCAGGAGCTTCTGAATTCAGGAATTTTCTAGATGGAGAAGATCTCATTATATGGTGACACCAGCTAGCCAGGTGTACTACTGAGGTCTGTCTGTGTTAGACTTTAGAAATAGACCAAGGATGGAGGGAGGTTTGAGAAATCTAAGTAAGGAAGCATAGGAGACCTTCTTGTTTGAGGTCAAAGAATAATTGGAAGGAGTGGTTCCATCTCACAATTTGAAAATGTTCTAAGGAACAAAACGTACTTTTTTATAGACCTATTGATCTCAGAAGATATAACACAGCTGGTGGAGGGTAATGATCAATCGCCAGACTACCACCATTCTATTTTCTTCTCTGTCAAACGTACTCACTATATTGTGAGTGTTTTCACTGCCTAATTTTTCATGGCAATTTTTGAGGACTGGTAGCTGAACTAATTTAATTCTCATTCTCTCACTTGTTCACCAAATCATTTCATGTGTGTTTTTGCCAGGTATTGTTTTAAATATTGGGCACTATTTTCGGTTCAGTAATTCAACCTATTTTAATCCCTTACTAGCCCAGTTGTAAATTTCAAATAAGTCATTTTTTTTTCATACCAGTTCCCTGCTTTCGAGTCTCTGATGAGGCTACGCTCAAGTATTACCCAGGATTAGGTCCTATCTGAAAGCTCAACTGGGGAAGGATCCACATTTGAGCTTGTTTATGCAGTTGTTGGTAGAATTCAGTTCCCTTAGGACGGTTGGACTGGGGGGCCTCAGCTCCTAGCTGACTGTGGGCCAGAGATCACCCTTGGTTCCTTGACAGATGGGCCTGCCCATTAGGGCAAATTGAAGCATCTAAGTCAGTGAGGGAGAGACTCTACTGGCAAGACAGAAGTCACAATTATATATAATGGAATCACTGAAGTGACATCTCATTATCTTTGTCATATTCCATTGGTTAGAAGCAAGTTACAGCACCCACCCACATACATTCAGGAGGGTGTGTATTACACAAGCACGTAAACACCAAGAGATGGGATCTTTGGAGACCATCATAGACTCTTTCCTCCATACCATCTGAACATTTAATATTAATGTAGTCTGTATTTCTACATAACAGTTCTCTGAAAGGAAACTTTGCTGTGTGCCAGATAATACTTTTTGATCTTCTTATTTTACCTTTCCTTACCCCACCCATGATTATTACTATCAAAGCTTTAGGGCATAACATAGTGCTAAAATAGAACACTTACTCCAAAAATTTAATTAACAAGCAACATGAAATAAAAGGCCATTTGCATATTGTAGGCAAATAAAAACATTATCACCAGGAGAAGTGAGTCAGAATATATCAAATATAATAGCTAATATTAAATAGCTGGGGGTGAGAGTTGGAATAATGAGCAGCCTCTGTACAGAGGGCATGTCAATCAATTACTCTGGCCCTATTGGAGCACCTGCCTAGAAGTCCTTGCTGTGCCTGGTTAACCCATCAGTTGCTGAATAGTGGGGAGGTCTCTGGTGGGGATTCTGGGAAGAGGGGCTGAGCAGTAATTGCGGAGAACCCTAGGGGATCCCAGCAGTCACTATTTACTAAGACATTTTTATTACCTAATACTCTATGGCTAAATAGTTAAAAGAATTAAAAATTCTCAAATGCTTTCAAGGTTGGAGCCAGTTCATGGGGTCAGGAGAGCTATCTCCAGGCCTGCATTCTACTCCCCTTCTTTTTCCATCCCTGCCCCATCCCTTTCATGCAGCACCTGGTGCACACTCAGGTGACCCAGCCTACATGTCGAGGATCCACGTAAACACCCCTCAAACAGATGGTCCCCCACAGGCCTCGGAATGTGGCAAGGTCTACCATTAGGAATGTAGGCTCAGGAAAGGCTCCTTCAGGCCCTGAGAGTGGACGTGGAATCCTGATGGCGGGGAATCCCAGGGTCCTGTGACCCAGAGCATGGTCTAGAACTGTGCTGGGCAGCACAGCAGCCGCACATTGGCTCCAGAGCACTGGTCGAGATGTTCCTTAAATGTAAAGTACACAACCAATTTCGAAGACTTAATACAAAAAATAAAGGGCGTAAGATATCTCATCAATAATTTTTATGTTGATTATGTGCTGACACGGTAGTGTTTTGGATATACTATTGGGTTAAATAAAATATATAATTAAATTAGTTCTAACTGTTTTTTTCTAATATAGCTACTAACAAGTTTAAAGTTCTATGTGTAGCTTCCATTTGTGGCTCCCATAACATTTCTGTGGAACAGCGCTGCTCTAGAAGGGAGAAGTACGGCTCTGCTAGGACACATCTCCTGCTACCTTGGACCCCTTGCCCTGTGAGGAGGAGGAGCTAGAGCAGAGCCCTCTAAAGCGTGGAGTCCCAGGCAGGAGCCTTTCTTGCCCCAGGGTGGTTTTGCTTTAAGGTGATATTTATAGTCTATTTGGTCTCACTCTGTCATGGCTAAATGACTCCAAATCTCTCTCCTTTGCCTACTTCTGGGTTTTGCCCAAGGCAAGAAGATAGTCTTCCTCACCTTCCACCTGCCCACCCCCACTGCCACTGCCACCACCACCGCTTTTGAATCAATATAACCAGGCACAGAAAGTAAAATTGTTCTGTATTGACATGTATCTTTCAAGAAGCTGTTATTCTTTGGGTGAAACAGAATCTAATCACTAAGCAATTTTTCTACAGAGAGAGGGAGACTTTTCACTCCCCTTCCCCTTGGTTTGTAGAGTACATTCATCTTTGATAATTGATTCTTCGGGTGGAGTAATGATGTAGGCTCAGGAATACGTTTTTTGATTCAAAGGGTATAAAAAGTGCTATGTGTGTTAGGGGTTAATGTAAGCTCTGTGGAATTACAATACGGATGTCTTCTAAGAAGAAAATTCACTAATCTAATCTCTAGAGAAGGAAACTTTTAGAGAGTCCCTTATGACTCCCTTAAGAAATTATTGTGGATAGTATGTTGCTGTATGATGGCTTTAAGAATTTATGGTGAATGCTTCAGACCATGGCTTTAGTGTTTCAACAGAAACAGTGGCTTACTTAGGGTGGTGGTGCATCTTGCTCTTGAATAAATCTGATCTGAGCTTACAAGTAGGAAGGAGTAATGATTTAGATGTCTGAAATCTCTTTAGTTTATTGTTTCTTTTCTTATCGTGGCAGAGAGTGACTGTTAAAACTTTTTCCTCCTGGGCACGTAGCTGGCCTACATTTCCCAGCATCCCTTACAGATGGCTGTGGCCATGTGACTGAGACTGGCCAATGGGATGCTAGTGGAGGTGATATATTCTTGTCCAATCATCTACTCTTTCTCCTTTTCTTCTGCCTATGAGATGCAGAGTATAGGGGCACATGGGCACCACCTGAGAACTCTTTAGGAATGCAGAATCTTTAACCTTCTCCTAGGTGTAGGGAATCCGAATCTGCATTTTACCAAGATTCCCAGGTAATACCTATGCTCATTAACATTTGAGAAATATTGCCCTTTGAGATGACAGAGCCAGTAGATGGAAAGATCTTGGGTCCCTGCCTTGTGGCTTAGAGGAGAGCCACCCAGGAGTGTGGCTTCTTGAAGCAGCCTGTTTAGATTGGTACATAAACAGGAAGTCCAATTTTATCATGATGAGGTCACTGAGATTTTGGAGTTGTTTGTTATAGCAGTTAGTCTTCCCTGGATAATATACTCACAAAGTATTTAAACAATGCCATGTACCTACAATGTATCCCCTTCTTACCAATAAATTCTGCCAACCAAAATGATCATATTGTACCTACAATGTCCAAAATGTTTAATACAGACTGAGGTAGACCTTATAAATGGTATTGGTGAAGCCTAGTGGACAATTTTAAGAAATCACCAACATTACAAAACGTTGACTGGCAAACTTGCGTTCACCCTATATATGCTCTGTAAATGTTCCTAGCTCCCTCACTTTTTTGTCTTTTTCTTCTTCAACGGCCTCCTTCACTTTTCAGTAGCAGCAAGATTAAGAGGTGAAAACTGCCATTACTCCAGTGAATGGGTGAGGTCACTGATTTGCACAATTCCTATGAGAGCCCAATTAAAAGAAGATACAGAGATAAGCATGTACGTTTTCATCTCTCTTAACTCCATTATCTTATTGTCATTTGGCTATGATTTATTTAGGTCAACATTGATTTCTGTAGCTTATTTAGATAGCTAGAATGATAAAAATATCTTTTTGTTATCACAAGGAGTACAATTATTTACATATTTACCTATTCATCCATTCATTCTTAGTATACAGAACAGTCCAATCAGGAACAATCTGTAGTACCTATGACAGGTACAGAAAAGCCCTTAAAGATTAGCCTCTAAGGTGTTAATGGGAGAGATTTACTGATTTATATTTTTCCCTATGGATCTGGAGATACAGGGTATTAACAAGATGGATGAGTTATTGGGGGTGCATTTGTATGTCTCAGGGTGCATGCTGTCTCTGATAATTGCTGTCTGTGTTTGATTGGGCAGAGCCAGTATCTTAAAACCTTCACTAGAATTTCCTATATTGAGACATCTAAAGTTAAGAAATCTAGGTAATTTTTGCTTATCGGTTTAAATTGTGCATAGAACTAAATTATTAAATAACCAGCATGTCTAAGCCTTACCCTTTTCTTTAATTACACACATATCCATGCATGCACACACATACATGCACACACATACATGCACACGTGCTGAGGAGGAAAAAAAAGCTGAAGGGATTTTGTCTGTGCATGCATGCGTACATATGCACAGACACACACAAGAGGCACATGTACACATGTATGGACCTGTGCATGAACACACAAATCCCATCAACTTCTTTTTTTCAGCCAGTCATTATAGAGAGGAATGACAGCTTTTATTTGCTGCAAAAATTCAAGTGGAAGAACGTCATATACAAGAACTACCAGCCTAGTGGTAGAGAAAAGAGGATTCTTTGAAGCTCTTTTTAGTCAGTCTGTACTAGCAATAGTCCAGTGTTTCCCAACTTGAGGGTGCCCTCAAGGCGTTGAAAACATAAGGTACCACTGTGATCGAGGTTTTACCAAATTTTAACTTTCCTTCACTTCTCACCTAAAATATCTTGAGGGTGATCTGTGCTCAGATTTGTTTTAAGGGTTGGGGGGAGTATTCACCTTCTGAAGTAAAAGAAGGAACAATTTGTCCTCTGTCTGGCTTCTATCATGAAACTTCATAACCCAAGAGCACATCTTGACTTCAGCTTTGTTATTTTTAGTGGTAGAGGAGAGGAAACAGTAATCTGCAAAGTGTGAGTTCAATTACCCTGACCTTTCATATTGAAATCTGAATTCTTAATAAGTGTTTTATGTGCATTTTATCATTTAACCCTTACAACAACCCTATGAGATAGGTAGTGTTATTATACCACTTTGCTGAGGAGGCAACTGAGACACAGAAATTAAGTAACTTGCCCAGCATTTCTTGGGATTCTAACCTAGGCCATCTGGCTCCAGAAGCTGAACTCTTAACCACACTGCTCTCCTGCAGGGTCGATGAGCTTGCCATGCCTCTTGGTCATTCCCTAAGGTGTGGCATTTTGTGATTCGGGATCTGGCTAACTCATTTAAATATGGAAGTTTCACAAAGATTCAGGCTGCTCAGGGATACAAAATGGCTCATTGGCAGGGTGGGGCTTCCAAGGAAATCGATTTCATTCCTTTCCTAATGGGCTGCGCTAGTTTGCAAAAATCAAGAACTGTGACGATTTAAGATGCATCTGAACTCTTTTAGATTTCCATAGAACCTCACTCAGCAGTCCTTTCGAGATGATGTCATAGTTCTTTTGTGTAATCTAGTAATGCCTTTTAGGGGAGGAAGCCGGTGTATTTTACAAATGTTATCTTATCCTTACAACACCCTTGAAGCTTAGTAAGTGATATTAGTTACTGTTTGGGGGATTACAAAAATTAGGTTGTGGTTTTTAATGTTTATTTTTATAGCAATGAGAAGTGGTACACACACACCCATACTTATATGCATATTTGTAAACATGTGTTATGTATATTATTATATACACGTATGCATCCTCCCCCCAGCATTGATGTGTGTAATTCAGGTGGTATTTGGTTGACTCCCTCCTAATATTTTGCAACTGCCACTAATTGTGATGGTTGTTGCACTTTAAAATGTTAAACTTTTAGAATATGTGAGAAGTGAGCAATTTGGCATTGGATCTAGCACTGTGTCCTCAAGTCCCTTTCATGTGCTCAGTGGATTTTTATTGAGTGCCAATTGTGTGCCAGGCAGTGGCATTACAACAGTGACCGAAACAAAGTCACTCCACCTGAGGACTTGAATGTCTAGTCAAGGAGCTAGAGAGAAAACAAATATATCCTCTGTCAGGTGGGGGTAAAGCGCTTCTGATGACAAATAATGTTGGCTGAGCTATGGTGACATTTCAGCAGAGGACTGCACGAGCTCTCCCAGGCTTTTCTTGCTCTAAAGCAGTAGTTCTGAACCAGGGATGAGTTTGCAGTAACTGGAGATATTTTTCTGCCCTACCTGGGGCAGGGCTGCTGCCAGGATTTCCCATTCAGAGTGATTTGAGAGGATCTCAGTCCACCTGTAAAGAGGAAAATACCCTCTTAGATTTGTAGGGCCACAGCCTCTTTTGCTGTGCCTGGAACATACTGGCAGACACCTTTCCTGCTGGGGATTTTGCAAAATCTGGGGACGTTTTTGGTGGTTATGCTTCGGGGAAGGGTGCTGCTAGCATCTAGTGTGTGAGGCTGGAAGTGCTGCTAACATCCTGCAGTGTACAGGGCAGCTGCCCACAACAGAATGATCTGGCTCAGAATGTCAGTAGTGCCAAAGTGGATAAACCTCTAGAACCACACTCCCCAGGGGTTCAGTAGACTTTCCCGAGTGGGCATGGAAAGGTAAACTCAACTCCCTTTCTGCACGACCCCTTTTTCTGGCCCATGAGAGCCTATGCTGTGGCCAGTCGCTGTGACAGAATGGTTTTCTGCAGGGCATCCATGCTCACGGCAGGATCAGATGCCATCTTCATGCTTTGACTTGCCAAGGACATTCACCAATAAAATGCGCGTTCAGGGAGACAGCTGTCATGACACAACACGTTTTTCCCATGACACACATTTCTTCCGTCCCTCTCCAATAACCTCGACTCTTGAATGGGTGAGGGACATTTCCTCAAGAGCTGTTTATCTGGGCTTTGGGGCTGTCTTGTGAATTCTATTTAAAAATACTCAAAGTCCCTGAGATCTTTGGATCTAAATAACATACTGGAACCTTCCCGTCCCCTCCTCTCCTTGGGGCTATGGTACCAACAGAAGATGAAAGCTTTATTTCATTTTCAAAAGTATTTTATATTTCTTTATTTTGTACCCTCTTGATAATTGATCCTCAGCTGCCAGGATTTCCCATTCAGAGTGATTCGAGAGGATGCCCAGGCCACCTGTAAAGAGGATAATACACTCTTAGATGTGTAGGGACACAGCCTCTTATGCTGTGCCTGGAACACACTGGCAGACCCCTTTCCTGCTCCGAGTATGCGGTAAGGGGGCAAGAAGCTGTATGGTGGCTTCTCCCTGGAGAAGCAGCTTCAGCCCCTTGTGCTCCTGCACTCCTGTGCTTTAAGGGCGAGAACACATTGGATTCTTTTTTTTTGAGGTGGGGTTTCACTCTTGTTGCCCAGGCTCAAGTGCAAGGCACGATCTCAGCTCACTGCGACCTCTGCCTCCCAGGTTCAAGCAATTCTCCTGCCTCAGCCTCCTGAGTAGCTGGGATTACAGGCATAGGCCACCATGCCCAGCTAATTTTGTAGAGATGGGATTTCTCCATGTTGGTCAGGCTGGTCTCGAACTCCTGACCTCAGGTGATCTGCCCGCCTTGGCCACCCAAAGTGCTGGGATTACAGTTATGAGCCACTGCGCCCGGTGACCACATCTGATGCTGAACCAAAGGCAGCTCTTGGGAGGTGGCTCTGAGCCTCCCAGCCGCAAGGTAGGGGAGCTCAAAGATGTTTTAGGAGTAAGCTTGACAAGAGGGTATCAGGAAAAATTGTTTTTCTTTGAATCTCCCCAGAATATATCATGTAATTCACCTCTTGAGGGGTCCTAGAAAGACCACTTGCCATCCCAATATCTAGCCAGTCCTGGAGTGGACCCAGTCAGAGTGCATGAACTGTGATACAAGGCCTATGTCTTGGTTTTTTTCACCTCCTGCAAGCTAGGAGCCTCCCAACTACCCACAGATTGGAAGGGACTTGGTGCAGGGATATGGCTTCGGGTGACAACCCACCTATCAGAGCTATTCAACCATTGAACAGCATGGCTGTCAGTCTGAGGTCGCAGTGATGTCAGGAGGTGGCAGTTTTGGCAGCTGACAGCCCTCACAGATGCCCTTGTGCAGAATGAACCTATCAAGCATTTTCTCTACTGGCTATGAAATGGAAAGTGAGGCAAGACATTCAGTTGCTGCACAGGAAGGAAAGCAGTCAGGGTGGTTGCCTGAGCGTCCAGGTCCCAGACAGGTCTGTTCTCCATGGAATACATTAAGGGATTGATTTACCTGTCTTGGAGCTGCTTCACATTGCAGTAGAGGGACTGTGCCGAGTGTCATGCAATGGCCAGTTATCTTGCAGAACTTGTTTGTTTCTGCAATTATTAAAAGTTTTCCTGGCAGTTTTTTTGTTTTGACCGAGAGTCTTTCCTCCAAAAATCATTCTCTCCATCCTCTCAGAACCCTGGATAATTCTCTCCTGTTTGTCGTTTGCATACCATGTACCTGGAACTCTTATGTTCTGGTTAAGTATTCTAGCATAAGAGAGGGGAAGCAAAATAAGTCAGCAGAGGATACTTTCAGCATACTGTGACTTTTAGAATGTTCAGTTAGTGATACTAACGTTTCATAGCCTGTACCAATAATCAACTTTTCTTTCCCCTGAAGACAAAGTAGCATGGTTGTGACCTATCTATACTGACTTGTTTTCTTCATGCATGCATTCAACAAATCTTAATTGAGTGCATGTTATGTTCTAGGCGTGGGGCTGGGCTGACCCTCTGGGAAATGACAAGATGAAATGAGACACATTCCTCCTTTCAAGAAAGTTTGTGTGGAATGTAGAAGATCATTCATTGGTTGAGGAGATTGTAAACTATCCTGGAACACAGTGGTTTAGGATGAAACAAAGCAGTGCACAAATGAACGCTCTAGTCAGTGAGGCTCCATTAGAGGTTCCTCAAGGGTGGGGACTGCGTTGAGTGTCACGAGACTCCTAGGGTCAGCACAGTGCCCAGCGGCTGGTACGTGCTTTCTAAGTATCAGCTGAAATGCTACAGCAGCACGGCCTAGTGGGGAGGGAGAGAGAAAGGGAGGAAGAGAGGGGAAGGGATTGAGGAAACTGACCTAGATTATGGGCAGTGCTGGTCCCCCACTCTCAGCCCATGTGGCTTGGGAGAATGAGCCTGTCTCTTGATGCTGTGAACTATCACCAAGAGATCCCCTACCTTGCTCCCCAAGTTCACCACCAGGCTTCTCTCCATCTCAGAGCTTATTGGAAGGACATGGAATCCTCTGGAGGGAGTTCTCCATTGAAAACAAAGACAATAAATTCCAAGTGGCAAATCTCATAGGTGGCCCTGAGTCCCTGTGATTTTTCCAGTCCACCCCTTAGTTGAAGTAAGGCAAAATTTGTTTTGGGGTTTCATAACAGTGATGTAAGTGCATTGCTTTGAAGCAGTTTTTGAGGGAGAGGGGAAAAGCCTGAGTTTTGGAGAACTACATTTGTGGAACCCAAGAAAGTGATACATCTTCCCTCCTCCCACCCCTCATTGGGGGAGATGACATGGGGCATACTTCCCTATGTGCTTTAGGGGGTCTCTACAGAAAGGGGGAAATGGGATTTTGCTCCTTGAGTTTGCTGAGGGTAGGACCTGCAGACTTGCTGTGGTGCCTTCAGAGCAAGAGGGAAAGAACACAGAAATAGATACCACCAAAAGGGATGAGGATTTCAGATGGCACACAGAGCCTGCTGAGCGCATAGCCATGCACCGCTGTGCTGTGCCTTTTCCTCTGACATCCCTTTGCCCACATATAGGAGACAATCCCCTTACAAAGAGCCAAGAGCAAGCCTGAAGGCTTCTGGGAGTCCAGTCGGCTTGGAAGTGAGGGAGGAAGCTGGGAAAGAGTGAGCTTAGGTCCGTGAACAGTGATGAGTTCATGAAAATATTTGAATCTACCTGAATAGAAAGATTATTTTAAACTAGGGAAGATTTATTTTAAACTGGAAGAGGCTGAAAATATAAAGTCCACTAATCTTGTCTGTCTCCATGAGCTTTTACACATACGCACATGTGCACACACACGCTCGCCCATGTAATGTTCACTTAGGTCAAGATACAGACCAACCCACCACCCCAGAAGGAGCTCTTGTGCCCCTTTCCAATCTCTCCCCAAGATAACCATTATTCTGACTTCCATCAATTAATCAATTTTGCCTGTTCTTTAACTTAACATAAATGAAATGATATGTGTACTTTTTTGTGTCTGACTTTCTTCTCCTCAATATAACGTTTATGAAATTTATCCAAGATTTTGCATGTATCATTTTTTTAATGCTGTGTATAATTCCACAGCATGAATAAACCACAATTTGTTTATCCATTCACCTGTTGATGGAAATTTGAGTTATTTCTAATTTTTGTTTTTTTCAAATGAAACTGCCGTGAACATCTTGTGCATATCTTTTGGTGGACATAGGCACCCATGTCTCTCAGATGGATAAGATTCGAATTATAGGTTCCATAGGCCACATATAGGTAGGCCTATTTGTATCTTTATATTTGATTTGTTCTATTCTTCTGCCCATGACAAAGGTAGTAAACAGGGTGTCTTTGAGCAGGGAGGCTGAAAATGCTCTCTTGTGAGCAGGGTAAGTAGATGGCTTGTGCTGGTGCAGAAAGGCAGGATGCTGGAGAAATCCCAGGGGAAGCATGGCACCAGTCCAACCAGAGACTAGGGAAGACTCATTAAGAATAACTTTTTACTACATGTAGGTCCAGGGAAAGCTGACATGGGAATAATGATTAAAAGGAATCAAGTAAAGGGGCAGAGAGGTAGATTTAAGTAATGGAAAGATTTTTGGTCTGCTTTCTAGTTTTGTCCTCTAGCACAATACGAAATAATTGGCTGTGGGTATATTACAGGATCCCTTAGATCTTATTGTCTCATTTATAAAATATAAAGGCTGTACAGGGTAGTTCCTAAATGGCCTTTGAGCTTTCATCTTCTCATAATTGCATCAATAATGGCTTAGTTGTAAATGACCAATTCTAGTAATAGGAGAAAATCGCATGGAATTTACTGAGAAAAGCCCAGTTTACTTCATGCTGTTATCTTAACATCCACAACTACATGTCGAGAGAATACGAAAATGTGTTCTTAGGCTTTTCCTTGTTCAACCAGTCTAGCCATGTGCCATTGGTCCTTCAAGGGCAGTGGCTGAGCCTCTTTTCTTCCTCCCCCACTTTTTGCTCCCTACCAGACAACCTTCTCCCATAGGTGCTAGTCTGTTTCCTCCCTGACTCGCATTCCTGCAGCCAATGCACCTGCTGGTCTGCTGGCTGTTGTTTCTCACTCACTGAAAACCAGATCTCAGGATGGACATAGGTTGGTGGACCATTTTCTTCCAGTCATTCATTCATTCACTTACAGATTAACTCCAGTTACAGTCACTGTAGCTAGCATCACATACACTAAGCTATCTCTCATACTCTTCCAGACATTGCCTAAGGCTGTGGCCACCCAGCCCCTGCCCTACTGGGTGGAGCCCACACTTGTGATATCTCAGAGTGCTTCCTCCAACCAAAGAACCCAGCCTTCTGCAGGAGGGACACCCCTTTCCCCCTCAGACAGTCCTGATTCTGGCATATTACCAGAGGCCAGTCTTTCCTGATCTCCTCCTATCCTGAGACGTTCTAGGCCTCCTTGAGTTCCAGTTCGCTCTTTCAAGAGCTGCACCAAAACATCTTTACAACTTGTGTTTATTATTTGCTGAAGTTTAGCTATCTTAATAAAGAATTATACTTGTGATGAAGTCAGGGCCAGGTCAGTTTGTCTTTCTATTCTTGGTTCTTAGCTTGTTATCTGGTATATACAAAATGTTTCATGAAAATTCTTCGTATTGAAGAAAGGGAAGGGTTTTGCCAAAAGCCCTACTCAAGGCTGGGAGGTACTGACGCATTACTGACACCTAGGGATAGGCTACCTAAATTGCAGGGTCGTGGACTATGACAAAACAGAGTGTTAGTAGTGAACATCTCAGGTAATACCACATAACTTTTTAAAGGGGAAAGGTCTTCCTAATTTCTATAAATAGTTCAAACTTTCAGACTTAGAATAGTCCTGCACTTGTGGCAGTGCCCTCATAGATCCAGAAAGAACTGATGTTATCTGATCTTGGGGAAAGTCCCCGCCTTGGGTTTGTAAATATCCTTACTGACGGTTTCTAGACATTTATGCACGACGTTTTGTCATGTGGGATCCAGCACATATTTCTGACCTGGCGAAAACTAAGAATATCTCAATCATAAAAATAACCAGAAAATCATGAAACAGAAATCTGGCCCAAGATTTTCTCTGGAAAAGTAAGAAGCTGCTTTGAAAGGTGAAAATAGACCAGTGAGCCCCCGCATTGGAACAGATTATTCCAAAAATTGTGAGCAAAGGTCTTTTTCTGTATTGTGCAAGTTAATCTCCTTTGCCCCTTTTTGTGGCTGAAATGCATGCCTAATCTGCATATGAGTGCCTGCCCCAGGTGGGATGGGGCATGCTGGGATTCCTAAAATTCAGCTGGCTTGCTTGAAGAGGGCTATCAGGCTAGATTTCATGTCTCAACAATTTCTAGCCGGTCTCCCTGAGCTGGCAAGCACCGCTCAGTTTATAATAGTGCCTGGCACATGGTAGGTCCAGTGTTTATTAAACTAACAGATATTCCCAACAGGTGTGGGCAGCAGTGCTGCTAATTAGCAGTAACATAGCCGCATGGCAGGGACAGGAAAGGGGAGCCTTCTGTGTGTCCCTACTATATGCAATGTATGACTCCAATCTCAAAAGAAGCAGAGAATACTCAGCCAAATATTTGCATTGATTCCTGCCAACACCATTTTTTTGTGATTTGTATGTTCCCTTCCCCACCCCCCACCCCCTGTACTGTTAACTTCATATTTGAAGGGGGTTATACTTTTAGGTTATTTGTGAATTGAGTCAGCTCATGTAACAGTGATTCTCAAAGTGTGGTCCCAAAACCAGTGGGATGGGCATCACCTGGGAACTTGTTACAAATGCAGATTATTGGGTCCCACCCCAGACCTACTGAATCAAAAATCCTGGAGGTGGGTCCAGCAATCAGTGTTATAATGAGCCTACCAGATGATTCTAATGCACATTGAAGTTTGAAAACCACCATTGTTTAAGGATCACAACAAATCCAACAGCACTGTCAGAAGAACAACTCCTTATTCTAATGGGTCAGGTGCTTTCTGTGTTGGCTGTCCTGCAGAGCATCTCTAGTGATAGTTGTATTTTCAGGATTAGAGGTGCAAAACTAATGGGAGTTTAAGAAGGAAGTTTGAGCCTTTACTGCTGGGAGAATCACAAGCCAAGTTTATTTCTCTTCCATTATTTGTATGGTAGCTAAAACTGCCAAGGACTACTGTGATCCATTGAAACATCAGTGTATCACATCTCTTCTTACATCTGAGCTGGCATTTTGGGTGTAGTGCTTCAGTAACAGTTGTATTCCCAAGCAAATAAAATCTTAGCCACCAGAAATCTTGAGTTGGACTAGACAAAGGCACCTCTCCAGATAGCAGCTGTTGTTGGAATTGAATATAAGAGATGCTTAATCAATGTTTGTGTAATTGAATAGAATGGGAAATGAATGGCTCACTCCAAACTTTATACAAGACAGATGAAGGCAACTTCGATCTTAACCTTTATGATACATAGCATTTTGTACTACCCTTGAGAAAATCTCAGTCTTGGGTTATCATAGACTCAATTGGCTATCATGGGAAATTCTGTCTCAGTGATGCTCCATATCTATTTAATTGAGGTTTATTATCAATTTGAAAAATGGAAAATTCACCTCACATATTTTAAATAGCCAAGATAGCCAGAGTGTATGTTGTGGTTTCAATATGTCCCCAAGAGTTCTTGTGTTAGGAGCTTGGTTGCCTTTGCAGTAGTGTTGAGACGTGGGGCCCTTGGGAGGTGATTGAATCGATGCTGTTATCATGGGAATGAGTTTGCTATCTTGGGAGTGGGGTCCTGATATAAATGATACATTTGGCTGCCATTTTCTCTTGTTTCATGTGCTTGCTTCCACCTTCCCCCTTCCACCATGGGACAATCCTCTCCAGATGCCTGTGCCATGCTCTTGGACTTCCCAGCCTCCAGAACTGTGAGAAATAAATTTCTTTATAAATTACTGAGCATTCTATTATAGCAGCACAGACTAAGACAGTGTAAGAAAGCTCTTATATTATAACTCTCTCCTTCTATTTGTATTCAGGTTTTCTCTTAATTCTGGAAAGTTTGGGCAGCAGCTGGGAATGGGAATTTATTATAAGACATCCCTTCAGTGTCTCTACAGAATTGCTTTAATTAAAGTACTTTGCTTTATTTGTCCCCATTTAATTATAATTCACATCAGAGAAAGCTATTGTTAAAATATTTTGGTTAGTTCAGTGTGGGGAATGGGATTTTCCATCCCTTGACCTTCATGACTCAGTAAGGAGCAGGTAAAATAATTTTCTTTGCTGGGTGATTATTATGCCTCAGGGACAAGTCATATTTAAGACCTGATAGTTTGATTCAAGCTCTCATAATTGCTGTGCAGACAGTGTTCAAAGCCAAAGTCTTCCTGATCATAAGGTGCTGAGAGGACATTCATTTTTTGCCATCATTCAGAGCTCTGCAAGAGAGCAAATTGCTTGTTACTTAAATGTGTTACCTTTGAAGAATAAAAATCTGAATTGACACTGCTGTTATTTGAGCCTTCAGGTGTAGGGACTTGGAGCACCTATGTATACCATGGAATGTGGCTTAACAGGACTAAACTGATTCCTTCTGCATAATGTGCTATATACTGATTTGCACTGTATGGAGTAAAACCTCTTCAACCATATTTGAAAGATTGATATTTACTCTAAAAAGCCTATACCTTGATGATATGGTAAAATAATCAGGTTCTCTATAACCTTGAATACTAGTAAGCTGTTTCTTTGCCTTCCTAATAACATGAGGGTTTTTAGTTTTTGTTTTTAACCAGCATTTGAGTACCTACTATGTGCCTAATAGAGTCAGAGTGACGCACATTAAAATTAACTAGAGTTACCAAAAATTTGTCCTTCTTACACAAATATGCAGTGACAACAGAATGATTATCAGTAATAAATGTATGTGCACTTGCAGATTACTAAGTGACTGATTTACCACAAAAAAGGAAAGGAACATTACTTAGATTTGTTGCTGTCCACTCCTTGTTTTTCATTATGGTTCAGTTTGGATTTTCACCACAATTCAGACATGAAAACTATTCTTTCCATAATGAAATCAGGTGTGAGGTTTTTTTTCTCATTCTTTTCTTTAGAAAATGTATAGCTTAGGCCAGGCGCAGTGGCTCACGCCTGTAATCCCAGCACTTTGGGAGGCCGAGGTGGGCGGATCATGCGGTCAAGAGATCGAGACTATCCTGGCTAACATGGTGAAACCCCATCTCTACTAAAAATACAAACACATTAGCCGGGCCTGGTGGCACACGCCTGTAGTCCTAGCTACTCAGTGGTACATGCCTGTAGTCCCAGCTACTCGGGAGGCTGAGGCAGGAGAATCGCTTGAACCCGGGAGGCGGAGGTTGCTGTGAGTCGAGATCGTGCCAAGAGAGACTCCATCTCAAAAAAAAAAAAAAAAAAAGCAAGCAAGAAAGTAAGAAAGAATAGCTTATATTTTCTATTAACTCCAACCAAGCAAAATTTAAAATGCTAGGTTGCACTCCTTGCACTCCGTAGTGCAACCCAATAGCACCATGGCTTTTTAATTCCCTGAGAGAGAGATGGTGGACAGGGTGTTCTGGGAAACTGCTGACAGTAACATCTGTCCATACCGAAAGTCAAGTGAAAACTTGGTTCACATGAGAGCAAATGAAAATATGATGTTTTTAAAGAGGCTGGGAAAAAGTCAGAGAAGTGCTCCCACTATTTTAGATGAGCTCAGCAGCAAGTTTCTAGTAGGTAAGAGGGAAAATCCATTGTGGGGAAATGTGCCAATGACTGTTTTTGGTTAAAGGTTTGAATGGGCACGATTTAGCAGAACTTTACAAAGCTGTGTCTTGAAGAGCTTTGGAAAAACATTTAGTGTTGTTGTCGTTGATGATTTTTTTTCATACTCTCTGTTGTTCAGGTTATATGTGACTGAAAGAAAGAATGATGTAGTTTGAGTTACTTCCATGACCCACCCCGGGCTAGCACCTCCTTCAGCCACATGGTAAGGTCCCAGAAACATTTGATAGAGACCACATGAAAGTAGATGCTTATGCAGATGTGACTTTTGAAATACATTCTTCCTGGCTTTCAGATGTGCTATTAATTGCAGGTTTAAAAGCCCTTTTTTGTTTGATCTGATAAGGTAGGCTTACTTTATGTCACCTTAAAATGAGGTTAAGCCAAGAATTGCAAGATATAAAGTATTCAATGACTACTCTCCATTTCTGCTGGGAAAAAGACCATCTGCTTAGGTAATTGCATTGTAATACTCAAACCTGGCTGAATTGCTTCTGTCCCTGCAAACGTCTCTTCTGTCTTTTACATTCACAGTCATATATCTCTCCTGCATGTAGATCCAAGACCCAGTGTAGCCTTTTGTATAATTTGTAGGATTAATAGACTCTGGGTCTGGCCTAGTACTTATATTGTAGGTCTATAAATTATCATAATAACATAGGTATAATTGCAGGTAGAGTTTTATATCTGGGTCTGCAGTGGTTTGATCATTGACTCACTGAGAACAATTATTAATCTTCAACTCCAAGGTAGGACACACAGTTCCAATTGGTACATAAATAGTACATACATTTACATTACAGCAGGGGGACATTGTCTTTGAAAGAACATGAATAATACGTTAAACCTGGAAGCTGGGAGGGGGACATACAGTAAGTGGGAAAAGAGATATTGCAGAAAGTTTAAAAACAGAGAAGAAGAAAATAAAATAAATACCAAAGCAAGCATGCTGATATCTTAAATTAGGTGCAAGGAATTCTTTTTCCTTCTGTGCCTCAGAGCTGCCTCTATGTGGCCATATGTGCCTTGAGGGGGAAGGAGTATAGTAAGCTTTGGGAATGATGATTCTTCATCTTGCAGGATGTAGTTGCTCGTGTTGGCTCAACTCAGGGTAAATATTCTAGATGATTGATGTATGAAATCCTAATAGTATGCCATTTAGGAGTTTGTTTACCATCAGTCTCCACATTCAGACTTTTTCTTGTGGGTTTGAATGTTCTGTAGTTTCTGTAATATTGAATTCAAAGGTTTGCTTTTGATTGGACTTTCCTAATTAAAAGCAAATTTATTGTCCCTACACCTTGCCTCTACTTAGCCCAATCTCACACACCCTGTGAGGCTTTTTCCCAGATGTTATTTCTCCTTCTTGAAGCTTCTTATAGGCAGAAACTGGACCTCATTCATCTTTTTATCTTTTACAGTGCTCTCGCAAATATTTATTGAATAAATAAATGACATAATTTATACAGTCTGTGAGGCTTACAAATACCTTCTTTAAGCTATTAGTAAAACAAAAGTACTGGCACAAAGTGATTTCTTGTTCATATAACAGAAGTATTTTACTTTCAAACACACACACACACACACACACACACACACACACACACACACAGAAAGAGGGAGAGAAAGAGAGAGAAGCCCAACCCAACAAACCACTTAAGGGAAACCATGAAAATGGTATCTTTGTTGAGAGTTAATGAGTTTATAGTTAATTTATGCTTTCCCTGGAATACATATTATACTCATTATGTACAAGTAAACTATGACTGTTTTTAAACCTATCACAGATATTCCAGATCTTAAAATGCTCTGTTTGAAATAAAAGGCAGAAGGGGGGACTTGGGCATATTCCCTTATAGTTATTCTTGTGTCTCTTATGGAATAGATGCAAAAAAGTCTAATTTGCCTTTCTGTCACTTGGCAAAGTTTATTATTTGCTTAAGCACAAGAAGATAAATGTTTTATCCTACTGGCAAAAAGTATTGTTTGCACAAATGTAAAATTCTGTTAAATGTATTTATATGTATTGTCTTAGTCAGGGTTCTCTAGAGGGACAGGACTAATAGGATAGATAGATGTACATATGAAAGGGAGTTTATTAAGGAGTATTGACTCACATCATCACAAGGTCAAGTCCCACAGTAGGCCATCTGCAAGCTGAGGAGCAAGGAAGCCAGTCCGAGTCCCAAAACCTCAAAAGTAGGGAAGCCAACAGTGTGCCCGAAGGCCCAAGAGCCCCTGGCAAACCACTGGTGTAAATCCAAGAGTCCAAAAGCCGAAGAACTTGGAGTCTGATGTTCAAGGGCAGGAAGCATCCAGCGTGGGAGAAAAATAAAGACCAGAAGACTCGGCAAGTCTAGTCCTTCCATGTTCTTCTGCTTGCTTTATTCTGGCTGTGCTGGCAGTTGATTAGATGGTGCCCACCCAGATTGAGAGTGGGTCTGCCTCTCCCAGTCCACTGACTCAAATGTTAATCTCCTTTGGCAAGAACCTCACAGACACCCCCAGTGACAATACTTTGCATTCTTCAATCTAATCAAGGTGACACTCAGTATTAACCATCACATGTATGTTTCTATTTGAGTGTTTCTGTAAATGACATGCTTTAGTTTTTGACAAGTCAAATCCTACCAAAATACCCTCATAGAAAACTCTTGATGAGAGTAATGGTTATATCCAAGTCCTCTCAATAACAAATTTATTTCAATCAATATTTAATATCACAAAATAACAGTATGACAAATGAAGGATAGAATGTGGTTAACTAGTGTAGAGTGTGAATTATTTGGACTGGATTGTGAAGTAGATGTAACTGATACTCATGGATGAACTTGCAGTAATTATAGATAATAAAAAATTACCAGCCAAGTGCTGTGGCTCATGCCTGTAATCCCAACACTTTGGGAGGCTGAGGTGAGCGGATTACTGAGCCCAGGAGTTCCAAACCAGCCTGGGCAACATGGGGAGACCCCATCTCTACAAAAAATGTAAAAAGCCAGGTGTGGTAGTGTGTACTTTTATGTAATCCCAGCTACTCAGGAGGCTGAAATTGGAGGATTGCTTGAGCTTGAGTCAAGGCCGCAATGAGCTCAGGCCACTGTACTTGAGCCTGGGTGACAAAGACCCTGTCTCAAAAAAAATTATAATTCGTACATAATTTTTTCACACATCAACCACTTTCCTAACAAGTCATTGATCCTCAAAATAATCCTGTGAGTATTATTCTCTTCTATGTAAATGGAGGAACTGAGTATCTAATAGGTGATTGCCATATCTAGGCAGCTGGCGTGGAGGGTGTTGAAGATTTGAGTCCGGTGCCTTTGACCCCAAAGCCTATGGCTGGAGATGCCTGCCAAGGCAAAACTGCCCTTACCAAAGCAGATTTTATCAGCTGATCCCATTTCTCTCTCACTAAACTGAGTCCATGAATCCTTCTCAATGTAGACAAAATCTGTCTGCTATCCTGACCTATGTTATTTCTAAGTGTATTTTGCTGGGCATTAACGCAGATGGAATACAGCCGAGTTTGCGTAAGTTCTGTATAGTACACCACCAAGCACCTTAACAGGAGCCTGCAAATTGCCCTTGAGGGAGGTAACTTTTAGCATCTGAGGCTTTGATGTGTTTATCTTCTCCAGGAATTTTGTTTTGCCTCCTTTGGGAGGGGAGAGGTCTTCTGCTAAGCATCTACTTCCTTTATTTCTTACTGCACAAGAACTTCGGTCTAATTGGCCAACTTTGAGTGTGCTGAGGTGACCTATTTCTGTCTGGGATAATAAAAACATTCCAGATGACTGACGCCTTTTACTGGGGACAATTTGACCTGATTCTAACCCTCCTGCTCTGCCTGCCAAGGAAGATGATTACTACAGGCCTTAGTACCGACCTCTATTTACTTCATCTACATTTTTTTTTTCATTTTCTTGCAAAAATAGCAGGCTTGTCCAAGTGCCTAGCTACTATGGCAATAAGTGCTATTTAAACAGATGCTGATGCCGAATACATGTGTCCCAGCTTAAATGAGTCAGTGGGAGCAGTTGTAGGATCTGATTGCATAAATGCATGGGAATAATGTCTGTCTCTGGGGCAACAGAACTTCTTTTGAGCCCTTGAGAGGACCAGTTCAGTTGCAGAAAGGCTGATGTAATGATCACACACCTTCAGGTGAAAGGGTCAGTTTCTCCCTGAATGGAAAGTGTCAAAAAATGGCCATTTAGACTTTCTGCTTTGTAACTAGAGCAAATGCCTCAAGAAAGAGAAAATGAACAGGAAAGCCCTCAAAAGCTTTAAAGGGCTTAGAAAATGTAAAGCCATTATTGTTGGTTATTCAAATATCCCTCTGATTCAAATAGATGCATTGATTTTTTAAAAAAATCTACAGTTAACATCAAGAAACTTGAGCCTCAGTAAATGAGCACTGCCTTATAGGATATTGCTGAATATGTCTTGAATAAGTTGAGAAAGCACTTGGCTGTGTATAACTACTCATGTAAAATGCTATTGGCACAAAGATGACATTTTTTTCAAAGATGCCTCTATCATGTGGCTACAAGTAGATTGTGCTGATTCTATTCCTCTACAAAGCTCAGGGTCACAGGTGGTCTATTAGTAGTTGTTGGTTGTTAGCTCTGCCATAAGAAGATGGCATGGTTCCTTAGGTTAGATGCATT